>NC_000013.11:81617759-81770600 GCF_000001405.40 Homo sapiens | reverse complement strand
CAAGTCTCATGTGTCTCATTGACGTGGCTGAATCACAATTCCTCAATCTCATTTTCAAACAGTAAGCTACTGAGATAGCATCTATCTGCCGGGCTGGATTTTAAAGGAAAATATATCAGTAGGGCACTTGATGTGAAAAAAAGGAGTGATTGTAAGGAAACTAGTGATGGTGGTATTAGTGGTTGATTTCAAAATCACTCTGTATTTTCTTAGTATAAATTGTGCACAATATTTTTTTCCATGATAGAGGTAAGCTTAAATAAGAGTTTTAGTTAATCTTTTTGTCAAACTCACAGACTCTTAAAATTCTAAGTTCACTCCCCAGTGCCACACCCCCCAGTAGAAAAATTCATAAAAGATACCTAAATAAGAGAAAAGTTCCAATAAGCCTTAGGGCCAAGCTATTGTTACTGTTGGTTTGTGTTTGTTGTTGTTATCCCCTGTTTACACAATGTCTTCCTAAGGAAGATTTGGCTATGAAGGAATTGTCCATCCCTGACTATATTATTAATATAATAACCACTATACAGGTGGGTGCTGGGGGGCAGCTGGAAGGAAACAGAAAAAAATATTAGAAACCACACACCAAGAAAGAGAAATGCTTCCAGCACCAGGGCCCAATAAACACCTGTCTCTTGACTGATCTGCACAAACCTTTGTTATTCATGAATAGGATGTGAATAGTGGTATGGAACTATGGAGCTTGCAGTTAAATGACTAGTCTTCTGTGGAGACCTAGTGTGTTGTTATCAAGTGGGCATCTGGTTGTCTAGTTCTGAGGACTCATGATGATTTTTGAAATATTCTTCCTTTTATTGCAAAATTCTGTTCATCAACTGTTAAAATTATAACACGGTACTTCCAAACTAGTTTCAGCCAGGGCCTTACTCTACCTGTGGGCATTATGCATGCTTTCTCCTTGGAAAGACAGCAGCTTCATATATGTCCAACAAGGGATCCTTAGATAAAATGACAAAGTGACAAAATACTTGTGGGTAATACTGGGATAAAATGTATATTGATAAAATATACAACCCCTATCAAACTATGCTTGATGTCATGCAGTAATGGCTTCTGTGTCTCTCATAGATACAATTTTAACCTCCGATACTCAACAGCTCAAATTTGAACACCTAAGCTAGGTCACCAAAAGAGACAGAAAATTTGGATATTTGGAATATTTATCAATAAAAGGAACAGAAATAATGAAACAAATATACCTCCAAAATCATTCCTCTTGCATTTATCTTGTGTAAAACAATGGATGGCTTGACGATTCCAACTGACATAGAGGCATTTATTTTTCAAATATTTATTATAAATATAAAACACTCAAAGTCAGGAGGAAAGAGAAAATTGATAGAGTTGTCATATAGACTGGGATAAAATTTGAAAACAAATTTGAAAGTTAAAGGGGCATCTATTTCTAACTTGAGAGTGTAGTGGGCTGAGTCAGTCATCCTGTAATGCAAATTCACAGATAACTTGTTTTAACATTATTGAAACAAGAGTAATAAACTCAATGATAATTCCACTTCAACTTCACATTATACATTAAGAAGTACAAATAATGCATCTCCCTTTTTAACTTCCAAACAACTCTTGCAATATTGGTGCTAAAACAACAAAGAAAAAATAATTACAGACCAGTTTTTGTTTACAAAACCATAAGGACTACTTCTATATAATAGAATGTAGGGAAGTAAATTTTTTGCATATTTAAATGCAAATATATGCAAAATTTTATATGAATATAAAAGGATCTTAGCCTCCACACTTTTCTGTTTTCCATTACTATTACATCACAGAATAAAATATGCACAAAGTCAGAAGAGAATATGCCAAGCTGCTTTATTCTTTTTGCAAATAAGAAACAAACTGCAACTCAGTAAAGATTAGTAAGTTGTATGATTACTTTAAAGGTGAATTAGACACTAGATTGGTGGATAGACTAAAGACCTCTAAAATATTTATTAAGGAAAAAAATATGTATAAACAAAACTGAAAATGTAACAAATGTATGAAAGATTTAGACATAGGAAAACTTTTATCACTGAGCTGCAGGAGCAAGACAAGTCAAGAAAAATGATACAGGCCAGAACTTTTAGAAACTCCAAGAACCTTAAATAGAAGTAATGGATAGTCACTGGAGTATTGTAAAAAGGGAATAGCTTGCTCTGGTGTCAGTTTTAAGAAGACCTCTCCACTGCTGTGTGAATGACAGAACCAAGAGGAGAGAGGCGGATTCACCAGTATGGAGTTGCCTCAGTTATTCAGCCACATGGTCACCAAAACTGGTTGTTTAACCATCAAGTTAGATGATAAAAGATGACTTCAGCATACACGCTGGAAAATATTTATTTTTGAATGATATACATGACTACTAGCTTGATCAACATGCGTATTCTAAATCAGGTACAACAATGTAAGAAGAATGTAAAATGAATGTATATAATTATAAATATATAATTATATATCATATATCACATATAATAATTATTAAATTATTCTTAAACCAATCATAAATTGAAAACATCCTAAGTCAAAAATACATTTAATACATCTAATCTGCTGAACGTCATGGCCTAGCATAGCATACTTGATTGATTGATTGATTGATTGATTGATGGAGACAGAGTAATGCTGTGCCACCCAGGCTGGAGTACAGCAGCGTGATCTCAGCTCACTGCAACCTCTACCTGCTGTGTTCAAGTGATTCTTGTCCCTCAGCCTCCCTAGTAGCTGAAATTACAGGCCAGTGACACCACACCCAGCTAATTTTTGTATTTTTAGTATATATGGGATTTCGCCATGCTGACCAGGCTGGTCTCAAACTCCTGGCCTCAAGTGATCTGCACATCTCAGCCTCCTAAAGTGCTGGGATTACAGGCATGAGCCACCATGCCCAGCTGTGTAGCCTACTTTAAATGTGCCCGGTACACATATATTAGTTTACAGTTGGGTAGAAATCATCTGGCAACATAGTACCTTGTAAAGTATTGGTTGTTTACCCATGTGATCACATGGCTGACTGGGAACTGAGGCTGTCTACCACTGCCCAGGATAGCAAGAGATTATCATAAAGTAAATCATATCATTATCCCAGGAAAAGATCAAAATTCAAAATTTGACATATGGTTTCTACTAAATGCAATTTGGTTTTGCACCATGATAAATTTGAAAAATTGTATTAATAAGTTGAACCATCATACGTCAGAGACCGTCTGTATGTATAATTATAAACATATTTGTATTTTTGCTTATTGAATTGTTTGTTTCTTATAGGTTCTGGATATTAGACCTTTGTCTGATGCATAGTTTGCAAATATTTTCTCCCATTCTGTCAGTTGTCTTTTACTCTATTGATCATTTCTTTTGCTGTGTAGAAGCTCTTTAGTTTAATTAAGTCTCACTTGTCAAATTTTGTTTTTGTTGCAATTGTTTTTGAGGGCTTACTTATAAATTATTTGCCAGGGCCAATGTACAGAATGTTTTTCCCTAGATTTTCTTCTAGTATTCTTATAGTTCGAGGTCTTACATTTAAATCTTTGGTTCATCTTCAGTTAATTTCCACATATGGTGAAAGGTAGGGACCCAGTTTCATTCTTTTGCATATGGCTAGCCAGCTACCCCAGACCATTTACTGAATAAGGACTTTTTTCCCCAATACTTATTTTTGTCAACTTTGTTGAAGATCAGGTGGCTGGAGCTATGTGGCTTTATTTCTGGGTTCTGTATTCTGGTTCATTTGTCTACGTGTCTATTTTGGTGCCAGTACCCTGCTGTTTTGGTGACTGTTGCTTTAAAGCTTTAAAGTATAGTTCAAAGCCAGGTAATAAGATGACTCCAGTTTTGTTCTCTTTGCTTAGGATTGCTTTGACTCTTTATTGATTTATATGTATTTTAGAATTGTTTTTTGTCTAATTATGTGAAAAGTGATGTTGTATTTTGACTGTAATATAATTGAATTTGTAGATTGCTTTGGGCATTATGGCCATTTTAATGATATTGATTCTTCCAATCCATGAGAATGGAATGTTTTTCCATTTGTTTGTGTTATCTATGATTTATTTCAGCAATGTTTTGTAGTTCTCTTCACAAAGATCTTTCACCTCCTTGGTTAGGTGTATTCTTAGGTATTTCATTTTTTTATGTGTCTAGGTAAATGGCATTGTGTTCTTGATTTAACTCTCATCTTGAATGTTATTATTGCTACTAATTTTTGCACATTGATTTTGTGTCCTGAAACTTTACTAAAGTCATCTATCAGTTCTGGGATAATTTTGGTGGAGTCTTCAGGGTTTTGTAGGTATAGAATTTTATCTTCAGTGAAGAGAGATCATTTGACTTTTTCTTTTCCTATTTGGATGCCTTTTATTTCTTTCTATTGCCTGATTGCTCTGGCTAGGATTTCCAGTACTATGTTGAGTAGGAGTTGTGAGAGTTCCCCGTTAAAAAGCGGGCAAAATACATGAACAGACATTTCTCTAGAGAAGACAAATAAGTGGCCAAAAAACATATGAAAAAATGCTCAACATCACTAATCATCAGAGAAATCTAAATCAAAACCACAATTAGATACCATCTCATAGTCAGTCTGACTATTATCAAAAAGTCAAAAAACAACAGTTGCTGGCAAGGTTGCAGAGAAAAGGGAAGGTTTATACACAGCTGGTAGGAATGTAAATTAGTTCAGCCACTGTGGAAAGTAGTTTGGAAGTTTCTCAAAGAACCTAAAACAGAACTGCCATTCAACCTAGTAATTCCACTATTGGATATATAGCTCAAGGAAAATAAATTGTTCTACAAAAAAGACACATGCACTTCTATATTCATTGTTGTACTATTCACAATAGCAAAGTCATGGAATCAAGTTAGGTGCTCATCAGTGCTGGATTGAGTAAAGAAAATGTGGTATATATACATCATGGAATGCTGCACAGCCATAAGAAAGGATGAAAGTATGCCCTTTTCAGCTACATGAATGCAGCTAGAAGCCATTATCCTAAGTGAATTTACACAGGAACAGAAAACCAAACACTGCAGGTTCTCACATGTAAGTGAGAGCTAAGCAGTGAGTATACATGAACAAAAACATGGCAAAAATAGACACTGGGAACTGCTGGTGGTGGGAGATGGGGAGGAGAGCAAGGGGTGAAAAAGTCCCTGTTGTGTACTATGTTTATACCTGGGTGATGTGATCATTTGTGGCTCAAATCTCAGTATCTACAATACACTCACGTAACAAACCTACACATGTACCCCCTGAATCTAAAATCAAAGTTGAAAATATAAAATAAAAACAATATAAATATACACAATATATTATTATGTCATAATTATTGTGTTATTTTTGAGGACAGTGCTTGTCTTCTCTTTTTAACCTAATGTATGTTATGATTTCCTAGAATTAAGAGCACGAGATATGTCTTCTCCCTGATGTTTGCTGGTGATTTCATCATTCTTTTATTATTTCCTCACAGGAATGTTTTAAAGTTACATATACATTTGATGTAGTTGATTTAGTTTAGTTTAATATTTTATAAATTAAACCCAGACCTACAGTAATATGACACTTTATACTGAGCCAAAAGATTAAGTGAAGGTTTCAGTGTCTACCATACTTTTATCCCTACCTTGCTTCCCTCTGTACACCTCTTGTACCATCAGTGACATAAGCATTGAGGAAAAGTATCAGTATCAATTAGAATGTTAAATATCAATAAAGACCTGTAGACTGCCTACTATTACTAGACCTTTCAATAATATAGTACATTTCCTTGGGATTGTAGAAATTAATATGATGAGAAGCTAAGTTTACTTGCTGAAGACTTGGGTGGGTGATGTAAGGAAAAAGAAAAATTCAAGAATAACCTCATTAAGGAAATATCCAATATAATCTAAGGTAATCCTGAATATAAAGGATATTTGCTGATATTTATCTATTGAATGAAGTTTATAAGAAAACTTTGTAGACATTAGAAATAGAATTTAGTTATCCTACACATTTTAATTAAATATAGGAGGAATGTAATATTAGCTTTGAATTTTCTGAATCTCTTTGGAATTGTTTGAGATTCACTGAAGCTTTCTTGGATCTTTTACTGAACTATGATTGTATGGGCTGAAAAAGTCCCTGGTGAGAATCTATCCAGTCTATGACTGGATAGACTAAACCGTGCACCCTCCTTGCCAAATTTACATGTTGAAGTTCTAACCCCCAGTGTGACTGTTTTTCAAGATAGGGCCATTAATAAGGGAATTATGGTTAAATTATTTTCTTTTTTTAACCTCCTGTGCTTTATGATTTCCTAGAACTAAAAGCAAGGGAAGTGTCATCTCCCTGATGTTTGTGGGTGACTTCATCATCATTTTAAAAAATTATTTCTTCATAGTAATGTTTTAAAGCCACATATCCATGTTATTAGAATTTACTTAGTTTAAGATTTTGTAAATTAAGCCCAGATATACATTAGTTTGGCACTATAAATGGTGAAGGCCTAATTCAATAGGACTGATGTCGTTAAAAGGAGAGGGGGAGACACCAACGAAAACACCATGTAAGGGCACAGCAAGAAGTCACTATCTGTAATCCCAAGAGAGAAGCTTCACCAAAAACCAACTCTGACGGCACCTTGATCTTGGACTTCAAGCCTCTAGAAGTATGAAATAAATTCTATTATTATAAGCCAGTTTGTGACATTTTTGTTACGGCAACCAGAGTAGACTAATACAATAATAAACATACCAAATTGGCATTCCAGCCACATTGGTTTGTGCATTTTAGGAGCAAATTCAGACATTTTCTTATGTATCTGAGTATAATTGACTCCTTAAATCCATTGATGAACCTAGATTACTTGAAGATAATTTTTATTATTTTTGAGATGCTCTTAAAATCTATAACATCATAATATGATGCAAAAAATGTGCATCTTATGCATATAGGCTTTCTAGTAGTGTGACTTAAACCATAGTCATTAATGTTATGACAAAAATAGTCTTGGAATTTATTTCTATAACCATAAATTTTAAGTAAAATATAAACAAACATTTGATTTAATCTTATCAAGATTAACATACATGCCTCACCTAACCTTAACAGTTAAAGAATTTGAGAAACTTTTAAAAACTGTCTCAGCAATAGAATAAAATATGAATATTCAAATGAATATGTTATAAATATAGATTTTAGAGAAAATGAGAAAGGAAGATGACACTTGAAATGGTTTCCCTTTGATTCTTAAAAAAAAATCAATCAACACACAAAAATCCATTAACCTTTAGAACACCCTACCCTGTAAGGCTACTTGGGTCATCAAGTGCAACATGTAATTCCCAGAAGTGTTTACAACATATTTTCTGAGGATTCAATGGAATAAATGAGAAGAAACAACTAACAATATTTTGATAAGCTGTCAATAGGGAAAAAAATTCATCTGAAACATTACTGTTAAATATCAAATTTTAAATGAAAAATAATTATCATGAACAAGATACACAAAAGTAGCTTTCATTAAAATAATGTAGATTTTTTTTCTCATGTCATGTAAACTTTAGAGAAAAATATAAATAATAGACTTTTGTTATTTTCAAAATCTTTAACATGTAAGAGACTTGGAGGTCAGAACCTGCAGAAGGATTTGCTTACTGGGGAGTGGTGATTGTTTCTTTTTAAAGGTAGGTGTTGTAGAACGAGTAGGGGGCTTAAGTGACAAAAAAGGATTTAAATATTATTTGAAGTTTCAGTTTCACCATAATAAGGACCAGGAAATTGTCTAGGATTCAAATAAATATTCTGAATCACAGACTACCATAGGCCAACACATGGCATCAGTTACCTAGAAGATGACCAGGTAGGAAGAACAGCTTCACAGTATAGCATTGCCAGGCATTTCTTTCAGCAAGAACCCTGGTGGCAGCAGTTCCTAAAGTAGTCTCTAGGACAGTTTGGGAGCTAGTCTCTCCTCAGCGAACAGTCCAGGTGTGAATAGAGGAGATGCATATTGGGCAGGTGTGGGAGCTGCCCTCACATAACATCCTCTGGATTAAAACCTTTATTTCCCATAGCAATAAATATCACCTTTAACATTTCTTTGTACAGCATCTATTTACCCTTCTCAATATAAGAGTTATGTCTTCAGAGATACCCAATGCTATAGTGTCCACACTGGGTATTTAAAGTTCATTCATAGTTCCAAATAGACTAGATGACATTTTTCTATTAGGAATCATTTATTTGTTATAAATAGGTTGCCTAAACAATAATTGAATTCCAGTCATCAGATTACTATAGTGACAGAGCTGAATATTTTTTCTCCAAACTTTACATTCCCATGCAACCGAGAAAATTATTTTTTAATCTATGTATTTGTATACATCATGTTCTTCATTGAGGACAACAACAACTGCAAAATATAAATTCTTAAATTATTTTTATATTTAATATAACAAAATTATTTTAATTTTTATCCACAGAAGCAAAAGTATAAAGGTATTTTTCAAAAGAATAGTAAAAGGAATGATTTTCCCTTCTAGGTCATAAATATAAATCTATAAAGTATAAAACTTTTGTAGTATAACACAAAATTTAGAGAACTAAAATAATTCAACAATAAACACTAAAAGGTACACATATTTAGTACATATGTATGTAAACTTATATTTTATATACATATATGCATGTATACATGTGCATACATATTACACATGTATCACAGACATACATATATAATAAAATATGTAACTATGTAATATAATACAATATATATATGTTTACATAGTTGTAACAAATCAAAGATGAAGAGCATTATCAGTCAATAAATTGAGTGGCATTTCTTTCATTTTGAAAAATATGTTAAATCATAGATCATGACGTACAGAAGTGAATACACTATATATTAATTCATTAAATATACAAATCATGAGCCATTCAAAAGTATCAAAAGATGACATTAAAATACTTATTAAACCTCTGGTAGAATGGTTGATTGAAAATAATTTTCAAAGAAAATGTGTGGGCTCTCAGTGTTAAATTCCATTTCAACAAATAATAAGTTTCTATCATGTCCCCGAGATTATCTTAGATATTTAAATAAACTTTTAACTTTTGAATGTCAAAGAAAGGCAAAGATGATTTTTTTCTAAAATGTCTGGTTTTTATCTTTATTTTTCCTTAGCTTGTGGCTGGTAGACACGTCCGAAGAAAATTTGTGATCTGTCCCTAGATAGTATTCTATATTTCAAGGTATATATATTCTTTGTTAATCCTATCCTTATTTAATCATTTTTTTCTTGTCCATCATGTCAGAGGAAGCAGTTCTCATGTGCCTAGGCTCTGCATTATTAGACATCAGTTTGAAACATTTCTCTGTAATTACCTGTTGTTAAATGGATTTATTACTTAACATCTTTAAGCCTACATTTTCTTCTCATTTAGATAATTCCTAATCCATGAAGTAGTTGTAAACATGAGTGTAAACACTCAGTAAAGGTTAGTTGCCATTACAAACATTTTTCAATGTCTCTTCTTTTATAAAATTATATTACTACAGGTCAGGTGTGGTGGCGTGGCTCACGCCTGTAATCCCAGCGCTTTGGGAGGCTGAGGCAGGCGGATCACAAGGTCAGGAGATCGAGACCATGCTGGCTAACATGGTGAAACCCCGTCTCTACTAAAAATGCAAAAAATTAGCCAAGTGTGGTGGCAAGCACCTGTAGTCCCAGCTACTTGGGAAACTGAGGCAAGAGAATAATTTTTGTATTTTTAATAGAGACGATGTGTCACCACATTAGCCTGGTTGGTCTCGAACTCCTGACCTCAGGTGATCTGCCCACCACCACCTCCCAAAGTGCTGGGTTTACAGTCGTGAGCCACAACACTCAGCCCAGAAAGTATGAAAGTCAAAGTATCACTAGGCTGCCACTTTCACATGTGACTATTGTTTGCCAGTGACCAAGTGCTCACAATTATCCATAACTTACCCATCCATTTGGCGTGTCAAAGACTTGTCAGACTCCTCTCCAACCCGCAGTTTCCTGAACTCTATTTTGTCCCCACATATAAGCAAGCACTAAGATACAGAACATTCCTTTTAAGCAACTCACACTAAGAATTGGCAGGCCACATAAATATATGCTGTTAAACCTCTATGATCCTGCTGTCTGCTCACCTTCAGTGCTTATAAAGTTCAGGCTATACATGTTTAATGTTTAACCCTTTCTTCAAAAGAAAAGTATTTTTATCTTTGATTTTTGAGATGCCCAGAAATTCAGAGGTCAAAGTGTGTATTAGTTTGTTTTGTGTTGCTAAAACAGAATACTACAGAATAGGATATAGATAGATAGATAGATAGATAGATAGATAGATAGATAGATAGATAGATAGATAGATATTTCTTATGGTTCTACAGGCTGAAAAGGCCAAGGTCAAGAGACCCACATTTGATGGGGGGTCTTCTTGCTGAATCTCCCTATGAAAGAAGAAGAGTGAGAAAGCCTGAGAGAGAGAGCTATAGATCAAGGGTTGAACTTGTTTTTATAAGAAGCTGACTCTTGCAATAACTAACCTGTTTCCATAACAATTACACTCATCCATTCAAGAGGGTAGAGCCCTCATGATGTAATCACTTCTTATCAGGCCCACCTTAAAACACTTTTGAATTGGGGATTAAGTTTCTAACACATGAACTTTGAGAGACACAAATAAATAGTAAAATGACCTCCCTATTGTAATAGTCTTTTCAAATAAAGTCTCTCCTTACATAAATCCAGATTTGTTTATATTTGTCATGGACATCATTTCTGGATTATCTGTTAGATTTTTGTATAGTTACCTAAAGTTTGAAAATTTATAAAATATTGTTTGACAGATGATATGGTTTGGCTGTGTTTCTACCCAAATCTCACCTTGAATTGTAATAATCCCCACCTGTCAAGGGCAAGGCCAGGTGGAGATAATTGAATCATGGGGGCAGTTTCCCCCATACCGTAATCATGGTAGTGAATAAGTCTCATGAGATCTGATGGTTTTATAAATGAGAGTACCCCTGCAGAAGCTCTCTTGACTGCTGTCATGTAAGAGGTGACTTTGCTCCTCATTCTCCTTCTGCCATGATTGTGAGGCCTCCCCAGCCATGTAGAAAAGTTAGTCAAGTAAACCTCTTTCCTTTATAAATTACTCAGTCTTGGGTATGTCTTTATTAGCAGTGTGAGAACAGACTAATACAGTAAATTGGTACCAGTCAAGTGGAGTGCTGCTCTAATGATACCTGAAAATATGAAAGCGACATTGGAACTGGGTAACAGGCAGAGGTTGGAAGAGTTTGTGGGGCTCAAAGGAAGACAGGAAAGTGTGGAAATGTTTGGAACTTCCTAGACACTTGTTGAATGGCTTTGACCAAAATACTGATAGTGATATGTACAGTAAAGTCCAGGCTGAAGTGGTCTCAGGTGGAGATGAGGAACTTGGGAACTGGGGCAAAGGTGACTCTTGCTATATTTTAGCAAAGAGACTGGAAGCATTTTGTTCCTGCCCTAGAGATGTGTGGAACTTTGAACTTGAGAGAGATGATTTATGGCAACTGGTAGAAGAAATGTCTAAGCTGCAAAGTGTTCAATAGATGACTTTGGTGCTATTAAAAGCATTTAGTTTTATGTATTTACAAAGATATGATTTGGAATGGGAAGTTATGTTTAAAAGGGGAGTAGAATATAAAAGTTTGGAAAGTTTGCAATCTGATGATGCAATAGAAAAGAAAAGCCCATTTTCAGAGGAGAAATTCAAGCCTGCTGGCTAAATTTACATAAGTAATGAGGAGCCAAATGTTAATCACCAAGACAATGAAGAAAATGTCTCCAGAGCATTTCAGATGTCTTCAAGGCAGCTCGTCCCATCAAAGGCCTGGAGGCCTAGGAGGAAAAATAGGCTTCAAGTGTCAGGCCCAGGGCTTTGCTTCTTCATACAGCCTCAAGACTCGGTGCCCTGCATCTCAGCCATGGCTAAAAGGGGTCAAATTAAAGTTCAAGCACTCACTTCAGAGGGTCCAACCCCCAAGCTTTAGCAGCTTTCATGTGGTGTTGAGCCTGCAGGTGCACTGATGTCAAGAATTGAGGTTTCAGAACCTCTGCCTAGATTTCAGAGGATGTACAGAAACACCTAAATGTCCAGGCAAAAGTTTGATGCAGGGATGGAGCCCTCATGGAGAACCTGTGCTAGGGCAGTGTGTAAGGGAAATATGGGTGAGAGCCCCCACACAGAGTCTCCACTGGGGCACTACCTAGTGGAGCTGTGAGAAGATGGCCACTGTCTTACAGATCCCAGAATGGTAGATTGAACAGCTTTCACAGTGCACCTGGAAAAGCTCCAGACACTGAAGGCCAGACAGTGAAAGCAGCCAGGAGGGGGCTATACCTTCCAAAGCCACAGGGGCAGAGCTGTTCAAGCATCAGTGTGGCCAACCACCTCTAGCATCAGTGTGACCTGGATGTGAGATATGGAGTCAAAGGATATCATTTTGGAGCAGTAAGATTTGACTGCTTGCTGGATTTTGAACTTTCATGGAGCCTGTAGCTGCTTCATTTTGGCCAATTTCTCCCATTTGGTACAGGTGTATTTATCCAGTGCCTGTACCCCCATTGTACCCAGGAACTAACTAACTTGCTTTTGATTTTACAGGCTCATAGACAGAAAGTACTTGCCTTATCTCAAATGAGACTTTGGACTGTGGACTTTTGATTTAATGCTGAGATCAGTTAAGACTTCAGGGAACTGTTGGGAAGGCATGATTGGTTTTGAAATGTGAGAACATGAGATTTGGGAGGGGCTGGGGTGCAATGATATGATTTGGCTGTGTCTCCACCCACATCTCACTTTGAACTGTAATAATCCCCACATATCAAGGGCAGGCCCAGATGGAGATAATTGAATCATGGATGTGGTCTCCCCATACTATTCTCTCCTGGTAGTGAATAAGTCTCACCAGGTCTGATGCTTTTATAAAGGGGAGTTCCCCTGCACAAGCTCTCTAGCCTGCTGCCAGTAAGACTTTGTTCCTCATTTCCCTTCCACCATGATTGTGAGGCCTACCCAGCTATGTGGAACTGTGAGTCAACTAAACCTCTTTCATTTATAAATTAACCAGTCTTTGGCATGTCTTTATTAGCAGTATGCAAACAGACTAATACAACAGGCTTTTTTTTCCCTTTATTTTATATTTTCCTGCAAGATAAATATTGACTTTCAAATAATTTTTTAAAGTTATTTTTAAGGTTTTTTTAAAATTTAAAAAGATTTCCTCTTTAGTTTTTGTTTTAAAGACTCATTTAAAATGACTTTATAATAAACCACAGGGACAATAGTGCTAAAATAACAGCTAGACTCTTCTTCTTCCACTTTGTGAATAATGGAGGGATCAAAGTCATTCATACCCAGATTTCCTTTCCTAAGCTCTACAACATTACAAAACAAACTAAACACTGAGATTACTTGTCTTATTATCTTATTTAAGTAAAAGGCTATTACTCATTGTGACTAGAATTGTAACAATTAGACTTATACTGTGAATGCATTAAAATACATAATTTCTATAATTAAAACAAGTATGCTATTTCTATAGAAAATGTGGAAAGTATGCCTCTATCTTCATCTAAATTCATAATAATTTTAGTAGCCCCTATTTAAATATATCCAGGTTAATAAATCAAAATACCATTAACTGGGTAGCTTGTAAACAGCAGAAATACATTTGTTACAGTTCTAGACACTGAAAATTTCAAGATCAAAATACTGACAGACTCAGTGTCTGGCAAGGACTCAGTTTCTTATAGATAGCCCCTTCTCACTGAGTTCTCACATGGTGGAAGAGGCAAAGCAGATCCCTGGGGACACTTTGGGTAACTAATCACCTTCATGAGGGGTTTACCCAAAATCCTTACTTCTGATCACTTTCCAAAGACTTCACCTTCCCATTACAATGATGCTGGGGATTAGGATTCCCCATATAAATTTAGGGGGGATATAAACTTTCAAATTGTATAAACCCTATCTTTGCTTTTTAAGCACCTCAGAAAGCAGTAATATTAAGGCACATTTTCTATAGGTGCAGAATCTCCATTATATTATGTTAACAATGATAACTTGATCTCATACATATATATATATTTATATTTATTTACATTTACTTTTGTCAAAGTTCTTTCAATCATCCATTAATTATTACAGCTAAGAATCAGGGTTACTCAACTCTCTAACAAAACTGCATACATAGAAAGTCTATACATGATGTACGTAGAGTTGTTAGAGACTCTGAAGACCTCTGTTGTACATTTAAATCTCTTTCTTTTTGCTCCAGGACCACAGAAAATTACATACATTTGCTCTCTAGACTTGATTAATTTCTTCACATTGCTCTAGAACAGCCTGGCACTTCTCTTTTCATTGGCCTTCTCAATAGAGCTTGGCTTATCTCCAGACCCATATGCTTCATTGAGTCTTTTCTCAAGACTTTCATTTGCACTTAAAATCATCTGCATAAAATAGCTTTAGCATATTTACCTTATATTTCTACTTAACTGCCTCATGTGTGTATTTTTTACTCCTCATCTACATTGTAATTCCTTTTTGAAAAAGATACTTAATTCTCCTTTTAATTTCCCAGCATGTCCTCATCCTGGACATCATAGTGATGGAGTCTGTGAAGGATTTCTTCTTACATATCTGTAAAATACTGTGACCTTCATTTTAAGTTATGCTGATAAAAAGTTATTCATCCCTTAAAACTTCCTTATGGAACTTCTATTTATACAATACAGTAGGAATTTATCTGTTCTCTTTTCATAAAATTTTTAAACTGAAAAAATGTAAAACAATTTTAAAAGTTTTTTGATAAGTAATGGACTACATGAGATTTTTAGGATACATTGTCACATGGATGTTAATTTGTAGGAACTATAATTAATAGTTATATTAATAGTGAAAAGAAATAGAATATATAATTTTGCTAACAAATTCATATAAATTATAAACGTGTTTTTGACATAGAAAACAAATCCTATTAACTAATAATTATTAATGATGCTAATGCATTCTATTACTATTTTGAAAATTGATTTTGATGTTGACATGTTAGCTTTCAGTTTATATTTAAAAAACAAAGCAATTAAAATATGAATACAATAATTTACATATTGTACAAATACAAAATTATAAAATACAAGACATTTAAAATTATTTGAATACTCATTGAAACTAATTTTTCATAAAGATAAATTATAATTATAAGCAGCTATAAGAATTGTCTTCTTATTAAACATCTAGAAGATACATATTTCACTATAGCGAAGGTAATGAGCTAGCCACAAAATGTGTGCTACAACTTAAATAATGCAGAATTTTTTTTTAGGAGAATCATATCTAGCAGACATTATTTCTCATTTTCCTGTTTTGTTTTGGCCACAAATTGTTTACCATAAAACGTACATTGGTCATTATCATTAGTATATTTGCCTTGTATATTAGTCCATTTTTGTACTGCTATGAAGAAATACCCAAGACTAAGTACTTTACAAGGAAAAACAGCTTTGATGGACTCACAGTTTCACATGGTTGGGGAGGCCTCACAATCATGGCGGAAGGTGAAGGAGGAGCAAAGGTATGTCTTACATGGTGGCAGGTAAGAGAGCATGTGCAGGGAACTGCCCTTTTAATAAAACCATCAGTTCTCATGAGACTTATTCACTATCAGGGGAACAGCATGGGAAATACCTGCCCCCATGATTCAATTACCTCTCACTGGGTCCCTCCCTTGAAACATGGGGATTATGGGAGATATAATTCAAGATAAGATTTGGGTGGGGACACAAATAAACTGTATCTTTCCACCCTGGCTTCTCCCAGATCTCAGGTCCTCACATTTCAAAACCAATCATGCCTTGCCAATAGTCCCCCAAAGTCTTAACTCATTTCAACATGAGTTGGACTAAAAAGTCCAACTCCAAAGACTCATTTGAGATAAGGCAAATGCCTTCCATTGATGAGCCTATAAAATCAAAGCAGGTTAGTTAACTTCTTAGATACAGTGGGGGTACAGGCATTGGATAAATACACCCATTCCAAATGGGAGAAATTGGCTAAAATGAAGGGGCTAAGGGCCTGTGCAAGTCTGAAATCCAGCAGGGCAGTCAAATCTTAAAGCTTTGAAATGATCTCTTTTGGCTCCATGTTTAACATCCAGGTCATGCAGAGGTGGGTTCCCACAGCCTTGGGCAGCTCCCTCCCTGTGGCTCCCCATTCTTGCTGCTTTTACAGGCTGGCCTTGAGTGTCTATGGCTTTTCCAGGTGCATGGTGCAGAAGTTCCAAAGTTTCCCACATTTTTCTGTCTTCCTCTGAGTCCTCTGAATTGTTCCAACCTCTGCTTGTTACCCAGGTCCAAAGTCCTCTCCACATTTTTGGGTCCTAATAGCAGTACCCCACTCTACTGGTACCCATTTACTGTATTAGTCCATTTTCATACAGCTCTGAAGAAATACCTGAGACTGAATAATTTATAAGGAAAAATAACTTTAAAGGATTCACAGTTCTACATGGTTGGGGAGCCCTCACAATCATGGCAGAAGGCAAAGGTAAAGCAAAGGCATGTCTTACATGGTGGCAGGTAAGAGCCTGTGCAGGGGAGCTACCCTTTTAAGAAACCATCAGTTCTGGTGAGACATATTCACTACCATGAGAGCAGCATGGGAAATACCTGCCTCCATGATTCAATTACCTCCCACTGGGTCCCTCTCATGACACATGAGAATTATGGGAGCTACAATACAAGATGAGATTTGGGTGGAGACAAAGCCAAACCATATCACGGGGTTATGCAGATGTTAAAATTAGCAAAGAAGAATTTTAAAATAGCTATCATTATTTTTCTCGATAATGTAAAAAAAATGCTTTCAATGATAGAGAAGATACAAAAGGTCTGCATAAAAATAGAAACCATAAAAAAACGGAAAATTTCAGAGCTTAAAATGTAATACATTGGGTAAAAAATAATAACTAAATAGATTTATTTAGAACAGTTATTACAGAACAGATGCAGTTAACTTTAAGATGAATAAACTAAAATCATCTAATTGGAAGAAGAAAAAAAACATTTAAATAAAAAGAAGCAGAGCCTAAGAGATCTTTGAGACATCATCTAAGGAACTCACATATGCATAATTAAAGTTCCTAACAAAAAGAGAGAAAGAATAAGAAAGGAAAAATCTGAAGAACAGTGGCCAAAAAAATCCACAATTTGATAAAGAATATAAATTTTCATAATTGAAAAGCTCAGCAAACCTAAGACATTATGAATACAAAGTAAACTATGGCTTTGCCTAAAAATTAGAGCAAGTTTATTTTATTTTATTTTATTTTTTAATTTTATCATTATTGGACTTTAAGTTTTAGGGTACATGTGCAAACATGCAGGTTTGTTACATATGTATACATGTGCCATGTTGGTGTGCTGCACCCATTAACTCATCATTTAGCATTAGGTATATCTCCTAATGCTATCACTCCCCCCTCCCCCCACCCCACAACAGTCCCCGGTGTGTGATGTTCCCCTTCCTGTGTCCATGTGTTCTCATTGTTCAATTCCCACCTATGAGTGAGAACATGCGGTGTTTGGTTTTTTGTCCTTGCGATAGTTTGCTGAGAATGATGGTTTCCAGTTTCATCCATGTCCCTACAAAGGACATGAACTCATCATTTTTTATGGCTGCATAGTATTCCATGGTGTATATGTGCCACATTGTCTTAATCCAGTCTATCGTCGTTGGACATTGAGGTTGGTTCCAAGTCTTTACTATTGTGAATAGTGCCACTATAAACATACGTGTGCATGTGTCTTTATAGCAGCATGATTTATAATCCTTTGGGTATATACCCAGTAATGGGATGGCTGGGTCAAATGGTATTTCTAGTTCTAGATCCCTGAGGAATTGCCACACCAACTTCCACAATGGTTGAACTAGTTTACAGTCCCACCAACAGTGGAAAAGTGTTCCTATTTCTCCACATCCTCTCCAGCACCTGTTGTTTCCTGACTTTTTAATGATTGCCATTCTAACTGGTGTGAGATGGTATCTCATTGTGGTTTTGATTTGCATTTCTCTGATGGCCAGTGATGATGAGCATTTCTTCATGTGTTTTTTGGCAGCATAAATGTCTTCTTTTGAGAAGTGTCTGTTCATATCCTTTGCCCACTTTTTGATGGGGTTGTTTGTTTTTTTCTTGTAAATTTGAGTTCATTGTAGATTCTGGATATTAGCCCTTTGTCAGATAAGTAGGTTGCAAAAATGTTCTCCTATTCTGTAGGTTGTCTGTTCACTCTGATGGTAATTTCTTTTGCTGTGCAGAAGCTCTTTAGTTTAATTAGATCCCATTTGTCAATTTTGGCTTTTGTTGCCATTGCTTTTGGTGTTTTAGACATGAAGTCCTTGCCCATGCCTATGTCCTGAATGGTATTGCCTAGGTTTTCTTCTAGGGTTTTTATGGTTTTAGGTCCAACATGTAAGTCTTTGATCCATCTTGAATTAATTTTTGTATAAGGTGTAAGGAAGGGATCCAGTTTCAGCTTTCTACATATGGCTAGCCAGTTTTCCCAGCACCATTTATTAAACAGGGAATCCTTTCCCCGTTGCTTGTTTTTGTCAGGTTTGTCAAAGATCAGATAGTTGTAGATGTGCGGCATTATTTCTGAGGGCTCTGTTCGATTCCATTGGTCTATATCTCTGTTTTGGTACCAGTACCATGCTGTTTTGGTTACTGTAGCCTTGTAGTAGAGTTTGAAGTCAGGTAGTGTGATGCCTCCAGCTTTGTTCTTATGGCTTAGGATTCACTTGGCAATGTGGGCTCTGTTTTGGTTCCGTATGAACTTTAAAGTAGTTTTTTCCAATTCTGTGAAGAAAGTCATTGGTAACTTGATGGGGATGGCATTGAATCTATAAATTACCTTGGGCAGTATGGCCATTTTCATGATATTGATTCTTCCTACCCATGAGCATGGAATGTTCTTCCATTTGTTTGTATCCTTTTATTTCATTGAGCAGTGGTTTGTAGTTCTCCTTGAAGAGGTCCTTCACATCCCTTGTAAGTTGGATTCCTAGGTATTTTATTCTCTTTGAAGCAATTGTGAATGGGAGTTCACTCATGATTTGGCTCTCTGTTTGTCTGTTATTGGTGTATAAGAATGCCTGTGATTTTTGTACATTGATTTTGTATCCTGAGACTTTGCTGAAGTTGCTTATCAGCATGAGGAGATTTAGGGCTGAGACGATGGGGTTTTCTAGATATACAATCATGTCATCTGCAAACAGGGACAATTTGACTTCCTCTTTTCCTAATTGAATTCCCTTTATTTCCTTCTCCTGCCTAATTGCCCTGGCCAGAACTTCCAACACTGTGTTGAATAGGAGTGGTGAGAGAGGGCATCCCTGTCTTGTGCCCGTTTTCAAAGGGAATGCTTCCAGTTTTTGCCCATTCAATATGATGTTTGCTGTGGGTTTGTCATAGACAGCTCTTATTATTTTGAGATATGTCCCATCAATACCTAATTTATTGAGAGTTTTTAGCATGAAGCGTTGTTCAATTTTGTCAAAGGCCTTTTCTGCATCTATTGAGATAATCATGTTGTTTTTGTCTTTGGTTCTGTTTATATCCTGGATTACATTTATTGATTTGTGCATGTTGAACCAGCCTTGCATCCCAGGGATGAAGCCCACTTGATCATGATGGATAAGCTTTTTGATGTGCTGCTGGATTTGGTTTGCCAGTATTTTATTGAGGATTTTTGCATCAATGTTCATCAAGGATATTGGTCTAAAATTCTCTTTTTTTGTTGTGTCTCTGCCAGGCTTTGGAATCAGGACGATGCTGGCCTCATAAAATGAGTTAGGGAGGATTCCCTCTTTTTCTATTGATTGGAATAGTTTCAGAAGGAATGGTACTAGTTCCTCCTTGTACCTCTGGTAGAATTTGGCTGTGAATCCATCTGGTCCTGGACTTTTTTTGGTTGGTAAGCTATTGATTATTGCCTCAATTTCAGAGCCTGTTATTGGTCTATTCTGAGATTCAACTTCTTCCTGGTTTAGTCTTGGGAGGATGTATGTGTTGAGGAATTTATCCATTTCTTCTAGATTTTCTAGTTTATTTGCCTAGAGGTGTTTATAGTATTCTCTGAGGGTAGTTTGTATTTCTTTGGGATCAGTGGTGATATCCCCTTTATCATTTTGTATTGCGTGTATTTGATTCTTCTCTCTTTTCTTGTTTATTAGTCTTGCTAGTGGTCTATCAATTTTGTTGATATTTTCAAAAAACCCGCTCCTGGATTCATTAATTTTTTGAAGGGTTTTTTGTGTCTCTATCTCCTTCAGTTCTGCTCTGATCTTAGTTATTTCTTGCCTTCTGCTAGGTTTTGAATGTGTTTGCTCTTGCTTTTCTAGTTCTTTTAATTGTGATGTTAGGGTGTCAATTTTAGATCTTTCTTGCTTTCTCTTGTGGGCATTTAGTGCTATAAATTTCCCTCTACACACTGCTTTGAATGCGTCCCAGAGATTCTGGTATGTTGTGTCTTTGTTCTTGTTGGTTTCAAAGAACATCTTTATTTCTGCCTTCATTTCCTTATTTACCCAGTAGTCATTCAGGAGCAGGTTGTTCAGTTTCCATGAAGTTGAGCAGTTCTGAGTAGTTTCTTAATCCTGAGTTCTAGTTTGATTGCACTGTGGTCTGAGAGACAGTTTGTTATAATTTCTGTTCTTTTACATTTGCTGAGGAGTGCTTTACTTCCCACTATGTGGTCAGTTTTGGAGTAGGTATGGTGTGGTGCTGAAAAGAATGTATATTCTGTTGATTTGTGGTGGAGAGTTCTGTAGATGTCTATTAGGTCCACTTGGTGCAGAGCTGAGTTCAAATCCTGAGTATCCTTCTTAACTTTCTGTCTCGTTGATCTGTCTAATGTTGACAGTGGGGTGTTAAAGTCTCCCATTATTATTGTGTGGGAGTCTAAGTCTTTTTGTAGGTCACTAAGGACTTACTTTATGAATCTGGGTGCTCCTGTATTGGGTGCATATATATTTAGGATAGTTAGCTCTTCTTGTTCAATTGATCCCTTTACCATTATGTAATGGCCTTCTTTGTCTCTTTTGATCGTTGCTGGTTTAAAGTCTGTTTTATCAGAGACCAGGATTGCAACCCCTGCCTTTTTTTGTTTTCAATTTGCTTGGTAGATCTTCCTCTCTCCCTTTATTTTGAGCCTATGTGTGTCTCTGCACGTGAGATGGGTTTCCTGAATACAGCACACTGATGGGTCTTGACTCTTTATCCAATTTGCCAGTCTGTGTCTTTTAATTGGAGCATTTAGCCCATTTACATTTAAGGTTAATATTGTTATGTGTGAATTTGATCCTGTCATGATGTTAGCTGGTTATTTTGCTCCTTAGTTGATGCAGTCTCTTCCTAGCCTCGATGGTCTTTACAATTTGGCATGTTTTTGCTGTGGCTGGTACCAATTGTTCCTTTCCATGTTTAGTGCTTCCTTCAGGAGCTCTTTTAGGGCAGGCCTGGTGGTGACAAAATCTCTCAGCATTGCTTGTCTGTAAAGTATTTTATTTCTCCTTCACTTATGAAGCTTAGTTTGCCTGGATATGAAATTCTGGGTTGAAAATTCTTTAAGAATGTTGAATATTGGTCCCCACTCTCTTCTGGCTTGTAGAGTTTCTGCCGAGAGATCAGCTGTTAGTCTGATGGGCTTCCCTTTGAGGGTAACCCGACCTTTCTCTCTGGCTGCCCTTAACATTTTTTCCTTCATTTCAACTTTGGTGAATCTGACAATTATGTGTCTTGGAGTTGCTCTTCTCGAGGAGTGTCTCTGTGGCATTGTCTGTATTTCCTGAATTTGAATGTTGGCCTGCCTTGCTAGATTTGGGAAGTTCTCCTGGATAATGTCCTGCAGATTGTTTTCCAACTTGGTTCCATTCTCCCCGTCACTTTCCGGTACACCAATCAGACGTAGATTTGGTCTTTTCACATAGTCCCATATTTCTTGGAGGCTTTGTTCATTTCTTTTTATTCTTTTTTCTCTAAACTCCTCTTCTTGCTTCATTTCATTCATTTCTTCTTCCATCAGTGATACCCTTTCTTCCAGTTGATCGCATTGGCTACTGAGGCTTCTGCATTCATCACGTAGCTCTCGTGCCTTGGTTTTCAGCTCCATCAGGTCCTTTAAGGACTTCTCTGCATTGGTTATTCTAGTTATCCATTCGTCTAATTTTTTTTTCAAAGCTTTTAACTTCTTTGCCATTGGTTTGAATTTCCTCCTGTAGCTCGGAGTAGTTTGATCGTCTGAAGCCTTATTTGTTGCAAGTTTAAATTAAAAAAAATATAAATACAATATTGTAAAAATAGAGAAAATGCCATAATACACATAAAGGAAGAAAAATTTAGATTACCAGTAAATATTCATCAAAAATCATAAAGGTCAGAAGATAGTAGACCAGCCTCTTCAATGCATGGAGAGAAAAATAACCTGTAAACTCAGAAGTCAATATTCAGCAAAAATATCATTGAAACAGTAGGTGAAATAAACAGATTCTTAGATAAGCCAAAGCTTAGAGAATTTATTGACAGCAAATTTTCACCTCAAGATACACTAATGGACATTCTACATTGTAAGAAAATAATACCAGATCTTCATGAAGATCTAAGATCTGGAGAAATAAAGATAACAAAAGATGAGATATACCTAGATACACATAAAATATACTTTTTCTTTTCATTTCTTTAAAAGCAGAAAGAATGTTTTTAAAAATGTCATAGTTTGTTTGTGTATGGGAGTGGTGAGTTTCTAATATATGTAGACAGGTTCCATAAGATAACTATAGCATGAATTACAGACTGGGGCTTAGTTAATGGACCCATAGGATTTCATGGTTGCTATATTATATGTGATATGATACAATATTAAATCTAAGTAGATTGTGAAAACTTAAGAATGATTAATATAATCTTTAGATCAATTATACCTGCAAAATACCCTTCCAAATAGCTATAACAAGATGGCCGATAAATAAAATGGAATTTTAAACTTATACAGACCCTTTGGAAAATTATATGGTAATACATCTTAGCCTATTTTAGGATTCTTATTTATTAACCACCTAATGTTTGGCCCTTATATAACACTTATAGAGCAAAACTGTTTTTACAGAGAACACTGGATGAAAATACTGCAATGGTTATGAAGTATATAGTTTCATATTTACTCAATTTTGGAATTTTAAAGTTGTATATATACTATCATGGGTATTATTACTATTAATACATTATAACTTCCATTGAGGTTGTAAAGACTGTCTTTCAGTTATTCAGTCCTTTTTTTCTTTCTCTTACAAACATATACAAATATAGAATTCAGGCTTTTGATTTTCTGTCACTGCTTTTTCCAATGTTACACTTCTCTCTCAAATTTCACTTGATTGCATTAGTCCATTCTCACATTGCAATAAATAAATACCTGAGACTGGGTCATTTTTAAAGAGATTTAACTGGCTCACAGTTCCACAGGCTATACAGGAAGTACGATGCTGGCATCTGTTTGGCTTCTGGGGAGGCCTCAGGAAATTTACAATCACGACAGAAGGCAAAGGGGGATCCAGCATTTCACATGGTCAGAGCAGGAGCAAAGAGAGACAATGAAGGAAGGGAGGTGTCACACACTTTTAAACCATCAAATCTCATGAGAACACACTCACTATCATGAGAACAGCAGCAAAGGGAAGGTACTAAACCATTCATAAGAAAGCCACCCCCATGATCCTGTGTCTTTCCACCAATGCTGGGCGTTGCATTTCAACATGAGATTTAGGGAAACAAACATTCACATCATATCATCAGTACTACACTTTGTGCTCAAAAGATTGGCTTGAAAAACAGATTATAGCACCCTTGAAGTACTGTTTTATGTAATCTGACCTAGGTCGTAGGTAAGATAAATCACGGTACTGAGAACAGAATCTTGCTAATGTAACAGCTTGTTTAAAATCTACTCATTAATGTTACTTTCTAAATTAAGGATTTTGCCTTACAAAGCAGAGGGATATTGGATACATAAAGGAATAACTTGAATTAAAATTTTCATCAATTCAATTTCATTTTCTCATATGTTTATAACATAATTGTTTTTTACATTTATGAAATAAAATTGATGCTATGCCATGTTATGCAATCAGCATTTATCCAGGTGGATGACTGAGAAACAACTGGGAAGTAGAGTAGGTGAAGGCCTTCAACTAAAAGAATATAGAACCTTTGAAAATGTGGTCAAGAAACAATACTCGAAATTCTCTAGCTCTAAAGAGACAAGACAAACTCGTATATTATTCCTTAGAGTCTTATTCATTCATTCATTCATTTTCTGTAGCACAATGCATTTTCAATCAGGAATCTGGTCTCAAAATGAGATGAAATGGAGAAGGAATTGTTCAAATCATGGAGAAGTGACTCTTATTTGCAGGTTTGAAAGTGAGAAAAAATGAGGATAGGTTGTGTTGTAGTCATTATTACAAATATTTACCATATTCTTTCTCTAAGATGCGGTATCTAGAATGCACCATGCATATTTATTTATCCAGAATAAAGGACAGTCATCTCCGTGGTCTGCCCCAGGGATTTGAGAAGAATGATACAGAGCCAAGAAATTTTCAAAAACTTTATTTATATTTAAACATACTACAATATAATTATCAGTAAGAAACTAATTTCTGGACATTTCTAACATTTTCTAAATATATGTATACTTTTCATTTTTCTGTAATATGCTGTAATTAGTCTGTGTTGTCCCAAGTATGTGTTTCATGCTTCCCATCACAGAAGCCAAGATCTGTAATGGCTTTTTTTTTTTTTTTTTTCTGAGACAGAGTCTTGTTCTGTTGCCCAGGCTGGCGTGCAATGGGGCACAATCTTGGCTCACTGCCACCTCCACCTCCAGGGCTCAAGCGATTATTTTGCCTAAGCCTCTTGAGTAGCTGGGATTACAGGCACCTGCCACCACATGCCTGGCTAATTTTTATATTTTTAGTAGAGAGGGGGTTTTACCATGTTGGCCAGGCTGGTCTCCATCTCCCAACCTTAGGTAATCCCCTGCCTCGGCCTCCCAAAGTTCTGGAATTACAGACGTGAGCCATTGCGCCCGGCCAAGATCTGTAATTTTTTGCTGTCTGCTTTGTCCAGAGGATAGAAACGTGACCTAGTCAGGGTCAGACAATGTTCCTCCAGAGTTAAGTGTGAGGCAAGAGGTGCAGGTTTACATTTGTGCAAGCAGCGTTAATTATATCCTGAAGTTAGGGTGGTGTTATATTGGCTAGGTTGTTTCTGCTTCGTGCTTTTTTATCCCACCACGTTTCCATGGTTTCTGCCCATTTCACAAGCCTGACAATCTAACTTATTTTGAGTTCCAATAAAGTCTACTTCTGCTTAAGATAGCTATAGCAAACTTTTATTTCTTAACAATCAAAAAATTTGACAATACAAAAAGAAAACTCTATTCTATACGTAAGTATTGAGTTTTGGCTTTTCCACAAAAGTTTTGAATTGTGAGATGGTGCATATGACATTTACATTTTTACAAACATTACTGTTTATAAGTCATCTGGACCCAACTTTTTCCATTGAGTTACTTTTCAATTCCTGTTTTGTGAAACAGAGGAACACATATGTTAGTTCTAAGATCAAAATATATGTAGCCGAGGCCTTTTAGCACAAGGCTTGATGTAGCACAGATATTAGATATGGATATTTGTTAATGTCCTTAGTGCCAATTGATACCTTCTGCCAAGGCCAAAAGGGTTGAATAGTGAAGACTAAATAGAAAGAGAAAACTCTGCAACCATTTCTACACTTCAGAATTCTTTCCAATTTCAACTCGATTCGAACCTCCACGTAGGAAGTGGTACTACTACAGAGTAATCTACTTCATGTTTGCTCTTAATTACAAGGGGTTTATTCCTAGAGATTACCTCCTAACTTTATTTCATAATCTGTCTCTTAAAACAATGTTATATTGTACTTTACACTTTAGCTCCAAATTTGTCATTTGATTTTCTGTCTAGCATCAACAAATCAGACACAGGTCATTGTAAAAAAAGAAGAGTATATGAACAATTAAATGATAGTTTGATTAAAAGCAGTAGAAAATGATGCATGAATATAGGCTATAATACCTATAATCTAATTGCAGGAAGGAGCATGAAAGTATAGCTAAACAAAACACATTGCATCAGTCTACAGTCACAGAATGAAAGAGCTGAGAAGGCAACTAAATTGAATTTGAGACTAGATTCAATACTCATTAGGGTGAAGGCAGTCAACATTTTTACTGTTGATGAAAAAAAAATCAATGAAATTTTACAAAGAAATTTCTCAAGTAATGCCATACCAGTCAAAGATATGCCTATCTTTGTATTTCCTTATCTAGATTTGTTTACTAGAGAGGAAGCTGAAAGTTAAAGTATGATGGTTAATGCTGAGTGTAAACTTGATTGGATTGAAGGATGTTAAGTATTATTTCTGTTTGTCTGTGAGGGTGTTGCCAAAGGAGATTAACATTTGAGTCAGTGGACTGGGAGAGGCAGACCCACCCTCAATCTGAGTGGGCATCATCTAATCAATTGCCAGCACAGCTAGAATAAAGCAGGCAGAAGAAGATGGAAGAGCAGACTTGCTGAGTCTTCCAGTCTTCATCTTTCTCCTGTACTGGATGCTTCCTGCCCTTGAATATTAGACTGCAAGTTCTTCAGCTTTTGAACTCTTGGACTTAGCCTGTGATTTGCCAGGGGTTCTTGGGCCTTCACCCACAGACTGAAGGCTGCACTGTTGGCTTCCCTACTTTTGGGACTTGGACTGGCTTCCTTGCTCCAAAGCTTACAGATGGCCTATTGTGGTAGTTCACCTTGTGATGGCATGAGTCAATACTCCTTAACAAAATCCCTTTCATATATACATCTATCTTATTAGTTCTGACCCTCTAGAGAACCTTGACAAATACACCTAGTGTTACTCTTTTTTGATGTTTTTTCTCTTGAGAATCGCTAATATTTTTCTTTTTTTATGTTGAGCAATTTCTGATCTTGCCCGGATATTGTGAATATTATATTGTGATTACTCTGAATTCAGCACTATGCTTTGAAAATTATAGTTTTTATTATTAAACCAGAAATAAACAGGGATAAAACTGCAAACTCTGTCTCTTGAGTGGCAGCTCAGACCTTTTTACAGACTTTTTATGTTTAGTTGGGTTGACTGAAGAATGTGTGATTCAATGTTCCATCAGGGATTTGCTTGTGATAGTCCCTGAAATCTATGCCTGGCTTTGAAACCAGGGAGAGGAGGTGAGAACCAGGACAATGAAGTAGATACATAGTCTTGGCAGATGAAGATGAGAAAATATTAGTACTGTTATGAGTGCTAGGAAAGAGAAACAGAAACTTCAATGGAGGTGTATAATATATAGAACCTAAAGTGGGAAAGACTTTACTAAAGTAATTATACCTTAGCTACTATAGGTATAAACTTATGATCTGCTAAATGGGTACATTGGAAAATATTTATAAATATGTATATTTTTGTCATCCTTTGTCAATCATTATGTGTTCTTAATTTTTTATAGAATTGGTGTTTATTTAACAATAGTTTAATAGTTTAAATCAAAATTCTCATTTATAAATTTATCATCTTAAGAGGTAGTGCTTCAAGCATTACAAACTTATAAGGGGGGTTATGATTATAAATTTTCCATTTCCATTTTTGTATTCAACAGGGATTATTACTTTTTAAAAAAAGGCTATTCATGAATGATATAAAAGATATGACCCCTGTAAATTAGCTACAAACTGTTAAGTACAGCATATAAATGGGTAAAGTAAGATCGTCCCAAAGCAAAGTTCCAGGACTCAGAAGGCTTTGGTTGAGATCACAGAGACTAAGTCTTACAGATTTCACACTGCTAACAGTTAATGGCATATCTTTTCCTGATTGCCTCCCCTACAAATACTAACTATTAAAGTTAGAAAAACCAAAATAGTTTTTCCTTAGCACATGAGATAACCCAGAGATCTTTCTGACTTAAAAAAATTCAAAAAATTGAACAACAAATAAAAAGCCCTGAGTGCTAAAACAAGCAAACTGATCACAAAACAGAAAAAAAACCCATAACCTCTATTTTGTGGTGTCTCATAAATACCCTCTAAGGTTTGGTCAGGACTGACCACCAAATCTCTACCACAATGTGGACCTCCTCATCAAATATATATAATCTGCGCTAGAGTAAGTGTGTCAAGTCCTTCCTGTAAATCTATGTATGACTTTGAAATTGGTTGTTTCTTCCCTTTAGACTGCCCCCAGTGGCTTCTTATTTTAATTATTTTACTTAAATCAATTTATTAACAGTGAAAATAATGAACAGATATTTGCCTATGACATACCAATAACAAGTCAATATTGTTTACATATTAACACAATAAAATTTATGTTTTCAATGAAAATTGTAAAAATAATCTGAAACCAAAATGTGATTCTGTCTCCACAGTTTACCTGTGATGTGTGGCATTTCCTACATGTTGCTGTCAATCATGAAATCCACCTCAAAAACCCCAAATCCTTCATTCTTACTGGAGGAATATGACCTCTCTACAAAGGAAACTATTCTCAATGTTGTGGTAAGTAGAATTCTAGCAATTTCCCCATTGTCTTTGTAGAATGTATTGTGCAACAAATTATTTTCAAACATTGTGGTTCTTGATGGAAATGGTGAACATAAGGTAGCCTTATTTCCACCAGGCCCTGTGAACCACCTAGCGTGATAAATAGCTTGTCCTTTCACTCTGAAGCTAGAGAAGGAACACAGTAAGTACCTGAAATTGTTAAGGCTAACCTACAAAAATGTCATGGCCAGAGTATATTTCAAAGAAACGGTGTATAGTTTTTAAACATTAAAAAAGAAAGCAGTGCTTGCTTTTCCTCCAACTGTGCCAGTAAGTGATATTTTCATTCTAGTTTCCATAACCAAATTTGTAAATAACTTAAATTTCACTGCTTAAAACTCTTCCCTGTGTATATTCAAGACTTTTAAATCTAAATATTGTTAGACTATTTGAGCAAAAGTAGTTTTGGGTAGAGTAATTTTCACTTTTCTGATTGCTGGCACTCTCTTCTTCCCTAGTCCCATTTCTCCAAACTAATGGAATTTCTTCTAATTCCAAAAGATTTCCTCCACATGGAAGTGAGCCTTTATTTCTGTAGAGAATTAATGTGGAGCAAATGTTTCATCCTAGTGTTTAATCATTTAACCCTGCAGCTACAGCCTTTGAATTCAACAATTGTTACTAAAAGGTGTGAACTCAGAAAATCTGAGACAGGTTTCAGTTAATTTAGAAAGTTTATTTTGCCAAGATTGAGGACGAACACCTGTGAGACAGCCTCAGGAGGTTCTCACGACATGTGCCCAAGGTGGTCTTAAATATTTTAGGGAGACATGAGACATCAATCAATATATGCAAGATGAACATTGGTTCCTTCTGGAAAGACAGGACAACTCAAAGCAAAGGCAGGAAGACTCAAAGTGGGGAGGGGTCTTCCAGGTCATTGGTAGATAAGAGACAAATGGTTGCATTATTTTGAGTTTCTGATGAGCCCCTCTAAAGGAGGCACTCAGATACGTATGTATCTCAGTGAACAGAGGGTTGACTTTGAATAGAATGAGAGAAAGATTGGGCCTAAGCAGTTCCCAGGTTGACTTTTCCCTTTAGCTTCGTGATTTGGGGGCCTGAAGATTTATTTTTCTTTCACAAAGGTAAGAATTGCAATTGTCTCTCATTGACTCTGATCCTCAGCCCTACAGTTTATTTGATGCTTCGAGGTTTGTCAGAATTTCCTTCTTCTTCCTATAACTTCTCACAATGTTCTTGCCATCTGTAAGGTAGACATTAATATTTACTGGTTCCCTTCATTACAAATCCTCTGTCATTTACCTACAGAAATTATTTGAATTTTGAATAATTGCTTTATCTTAATTCACTTGTTTTCACATTGATTAACTACCCCACCCCCCATTTTATTGTCATGTTTATTTTCCTTTGAACACTTCTGTCAGATCTTGGAGAGGAAGTGAGAGAGTTAAAGCTTGGTCTTTCCTATATCATTATTTTTATGATAACAAATTCATATGTTTAACTATAAATGCTTAAATAAGTGATATGCATCATTGTCAACTCTAGACTATTGAACATTTATGTCTTGAGATTTATTTGAATGATAAAACTTAAGATAGTTTTTGTTTGTTTGTTTGTTTGTTTTTAAGAAGATAGGAAGCCAACCTTGGGAGAGGATTAGGGGAAACTCATGTTAAAGTGAGTTGCTGAAGTAAACTTTATTTTTATGAGTAACTAGGATGTATTGCTGTTGTTCATTTGCATAAATAAATAGCATGATTATTATGTTTGCTGGCCATCCCTACCCAGGTTTTGGGTGACCCAGCCAGAGTGGTTTCCAGGACCTCTGCTTCCATCCCTGGGAAAGTAGGAGACAGGGTTTTGCTGCAGGAGCCCAGGAAGCTGGAGGCCCATTACATAATGAATGTAAAGATTCTCTAGGTAGAACTTTCAGTGTTTAGCTGGAAAAAGGGAAACGGAGACGTTCAATTGTCTGCCTTTCAGCAGGGGTCGCCATATTGCTTGTTTCTCGAAGGTATTCCTGGCCAAAGAGTGTGGGGACCAGTGCGTCTCAACACTTCTGTGGGAGACCAGGGAAGGTCTAGGAGCTGGGTGGTGGGGTTAGTGGGGTCCTTGGAGGCGAAAGCCAGTATCTTTGGAGAGAGAGAAGGTGTTGGGGCTTGGGTGTGGGGTGGAGAGGAGAGGATTGCCCATGCCCTTCCCTCCCACCCCCCACCTAGGAAAAGACTGAGTCCCAAGATTGATTTCCAAGCACTAGGGGAGGTCAGCAGACAGGGAGATAAATGAGCCACCACAAGGAGCCACATCGGGGAGAGAGCACCTCCCCAGGTGGCTGGACCGCAGACCCAGCTCAACATGGGTGCTGATCCCCACAGGGGTCTGGATGGGGGAACTGGACTCTTGCTCTGAGCTGTTATAAGGGAAGGGAGCACAAAAGAAAGATGCCCCCGAAGGTGGGAACTGCAAAAGCATAGAGGTGAAAACGGCCAGGACCTGAGCCACTGTCATGAGAGGTCAGGGGAAAAAAAAAACCAGCAGGAGGAGATGAGGCCAAAGAAGGCAGGAAGGGCCAGCTATGACACAGGGAAGAGTTTGGTCTTTTGAATCTTCTGGATTGTGAGCTAGAGAAGAATGGATGGAGTTAGACTAGGACTTGAGGATCTGCTTGTGCAAGCCTAGAGGGTTCAGATGGAAAACAGACCAGCAAAGCGCAGAACGGTGGTTGGAGAAGAAAAGGCAGTTCTTCTGGTCAGTCCCAGGAGCTCCATGCAAAGTATAAATAGATAGGGTAGAGTTACTAGTGAACCACACAGTCCCAGATCAGAGAGAGGGAGTGCAGAATAACTCCAGAACACAGGCTTGAAGATCCCAAACGCAGCATCCTTCAGGGTACTCAAAAGGCTAAACATTTTTTATGTGTTTATCTCAGTTTAATAACATTACGATGTGTTGAATATTGTTGAAATTTTATATTTTATATTATACCTTTAACAATGAGTATTGATACTTCAGTTTTATATTTTACATTTATTTGGCATCCCAGCAATCTTGTTGGTATTTTACAATATAACCTTCTTATCTTTGCAGGCTCTGACATATATGAAATTCAGTTACTGCAGTGTATTTATATAACACCACTTCCCTAATAACAAGGTTGAAATGAAATTTACTTGGGTATATCAACTGTGAGTAATTGTATAAACGTTGCTGCTAGCTCTTTAGTCCAGACATCACTGCAAAGATATCAGATGTGTCTCATGATCAGTGATGAAATCACCCCACTTCTCTCAAAGACTGTCAGGGATTGGTCACTGTGCATCTGTGATTCAGTTCACATACAAACAGAAAATACATATTTGTGTTACTACCTTGTCTCCCAGTGTTAAGCCCAAGTGACATTTTACAAAAATGAGTAATCAAAAGAGGTAATAGGTCAACAAAGATGAAGGTGTAGCAAAGGACAGAAAAGTGGTAACAATGGAAATGAAATTGAATGTGATTAGAAGATAGTAGACATGGAAATGTTGATGCTGCTTTCTTTAGAGACACCAGACATGCAGCCAGAGGAACTTAATGAGGGCCAAGTTACCAGCATAAATGAGAAAAGTGGCTGTAATGAGATGTGCTGGAGTAAGTAACTCCTGAAAACAAATATCACGTTAGAGGAGCTACTGAAGGATTTTCACAATATTAGAAGCAAAAGAGATAAAATGTTGAAAGCTGACTCAAACCTAGAAGAAAGGATGGCAATTCACTAAGGCATGGAAAAGACCCTTGTTCCATATAAAAGGAGAAGGTAATCAATGTTTGAACTACTCTTCATACTTCTTGTTTTTAAACAAATTGTTTGTCAATGTTTCAAGTATTTCCATTTAGCATACACTAAATAAATATTACTTTTACTGTCTCTTCATTCCTTTTTATGTATGTTACTGACAATCAAAGAATTTCTAATAGTTTGGCAAGTTTTTTTTTAAAAGGTCACAGAACTATCAATTTTTCACTTTGAATTCTAATAGCAGCTTGGCATTAGCTCATACTCTCAATTTTACAGTCCACAGTGAAGACCGTCCATTGTTATATGACACTGGATAAACTACTCGTCTGCTCAATTCAATTAAATAATTCAGAAATGCAGCAATACAACAAATATAGAAACAATCAACAACACCTTACTTGTGTTTACTATTATTTATCATAGTGTTCATTCTTTTTTACAGTCTATCTCCAAATTACTTCTCTTTTTCTTTATTAAAAGAGCAGATCCTGACCAGCCTGCCCAACATGGCGAAACCCCATCTCTACTAAAAATACAAAAAATTAGCTGGGCTTGGTGGCAGGCACCTGTAATCCCAGCTACTTGGGAGGCTGAGGTAGGAGAATCTCTTGAACCTGGGAGGCAGAGATTGCAGTGAGCTGAGATCACACCACTGCACTCCAGCCTGGGCAACAAGAGTGAATCTCCATCTCAAAAAAAAAAAAAAAAAAAAAAAAAAAGCAGACCCTCTTCTTCCAACAACTTCTATTCATAATATAGTATATAAAATTATCAAGCAGGCTAAGGAAATGCCATATATATTTTTTGTTTTTTTGTTTGTTCAATGTCCAGAATATTTTCTTCATCTCCCCATAATAGCCATAATAACATCACTTTCTCTCTGAGCTTTCTAGACCGGCTTTTCCTCATAATCAAATTATTTGCTACCCAGTTCTGTTTCCATAGCAGTGATTTCTTATCTCTGTCATAGGATGGTATAGGAAGTCATAAGTTAGTCATATTCTGAGCTCCTTAGCACCTGTTCCTCTTCTCATTCATCTGTGTTCCCCTAGTATGTAGCACAGTGGCAATTTCTAAAATAGCTCTGTATATTGTTTTTCCTTAATTAAAAAGGTAATTGTCTTTAGTTAAAAAGGCAATTTTTGGCTATTTATTTTTATACTCTGCTAAAATTCACACTTTACTTTTGGGGAGCACAACTAAGTCATATGTTTTTTGAAGTGCAACTTCCTGTTGCTGCTTCTTTTATAGGTCATTTATCTTATGAGTGACAGAAAAAGGAATGGCTTATAAATGCATCTGTGCTTTTTGCATTTATAAATGCACTTATAAATGCATTTATGCATTTATCTCATTATGAGTGACAGAAAAAGGGGTGGCTTATAAATGCATCTATGCTTTTTAGGTAAATACCAAGAAAATTGGAATAGAGGCTATTGACTGATTTGGAAGAAACATATACATTAGTAAATCAGTAATTTCATACCTATGTAAAAATCTATTAAATCATATTGCTTTAGACTACTCATGGGTATGTTGGTCAACCCATGGCCTATGATTCAAACTTACTGTTTTTTTGAATATATAGTTTGCATATTTGCATATGAAAAATCAGAAATTATCATTGGGATAATTAGCCACCCTTTACTCATTAAACATTTTTCCCAGAAATGCACTTAATATCTTATAATTATTTATAAGCTCAAGTAATGTATAGCAAAAATGAAAATGTGCATGGTAGGTATTATATATCATCATGGATTTCTGGAATTTCTGTGAAACAATAAACTATATTTAGAAGTTAAACAGAAGTAATATTTTTTAAAAAATCAGTTAAGAGGAAAGCAAGCACTTTACTGACTAAACAAGATTCTGCAGTGAACATCTGTTAAAATGTGGAGGATTTAGTTTTGAAAAAAAATATATCAAGCATTGAGCTTGAAATAGAAAAATAACTATTCAATTTTCTAAAGTGACTCTACTCAAGGAAATCTTATTTTATTTTTCCTCTGGGAATTTAAGTATGTTCCGAATGTCACTCGTGATGCTCGGACCTGTATTACATACAGACATTGAGAAGACTTACAGAGCATGACACAATACAATATGTCAAAGTAGTTAAGATACTGATTGAATTTTCCCAATCACATATTCACATTAGTTTCTTATGACTTCCATGATAATTTACTACAACATTAGTGACTTAAATCAACAGAAATTTATTCCCTCACAAAACTCAGGAAGCCAGAGTCTAAAATCAGTTTCACTGCGCCAAAGTCAAGGTGTTATCAGCATGACTGCCCTACTTCGGGAGGCTCTAGAGACTGTTTGTTTCTCACCTCCCTCAGTTTCTGATGGCTTCCGGCATTCCTTGGCTAGTGATAGCATCACCACAATCACTGCCTTCATGGTACCATTGCCTTGTCTTCTTCTGACTGTCATCTCCCTCTACCTTTCTCTTACAAGGACACTGTGATTGCATTTAGAGGCCACAAGGATGATAATCCAAGATAATAGCACCATTTCAAAATCCTTAATTTGACACATGTGAAAAGTTCATTTTTTTAAGTATAAAGTGATATTCAGAGGTTCCAGGGATTAGAACAGACTCTCTTTTGAGGGCCCTTTAATCAGCCTATCACAACACTAAATACTAATTTTTACACTAGTCAGTGAATTGCTCCCCTGCTTCACATTGAAACAATGTGAATCAACATTTTTTAAAAATTGCTGTTACCCTGTGAACTGGCAGATGAATCAGTCCACTTTTTAAAAATTATAATTGATTATTCATTAATGTCTAGAGATAACCTATGACTTCTGGCATTTTTCATTTTGATTAGAAAACCATCTAAAAATCTTTATCAAACCCTATTATCTCTGCAACCTCCATTGTCATTGAATAAATGAATTGGCTTTATCATCATTACACAATTCACTACATCTAAAATGTAAGTGAGTATGGAAAGGCAAAGGGGTTATTTTCAAACGCGTGTAGTCACATTTTGAGGAGAGTGAACAAATATACCCGTCAATTTGATGTTTTTTAAACAGTATTACATTTTTTCTTATAAGAAATGAAGTTATTTTTTATTCCATTTTTCTTTGCAACAGTGTCAAATACTTTGCATGTCAATTTATTTACTAGTCCTTCTTTTGTTATTTTGAGATTGCCATCTACAATAAAATGTTCAAGTTTTCCACTTTGGAAATTCACACACCAATCCCCAAAACATTGTTTTCATACACACTGTTATCCTCAACATTATTATATTTTTATTCATATCTGGGCTGAGGGTGTTTGTCAAGTTCTACTAGGAGGCAAGAGGGAAGCAACCCAGATGCCCCGGGGGTTAGACAGTCACAGAATCCCATGCTTTAGCTCCCTGCTGCCTCAAGAGTGCCATTTCTGTGTGCCTTTGTTGTCTCCAAATCTGAAACATCTCAGGTAAATTTCTTCTGAGAATAAGTAAGTTTTAATCTCTTAGGGAAGTAGTGACTTGGTTCTGCTGGATGAACAAAGAAACTTGGAGACACAAATGCTTCGTGCAACTTTCAATCAGTTTCCCGGAGTTTTGTCCTAAACCTCTTAAAGAATCAAGAGGTCCAAGGGAGAGGTCAATTTTTTCCATCACCATCTTCTAATGTAGTCTATGTTTTCTTTCTAGTAGTTACCTTCCACTCCATTTATGCTTTTTTTCTTGAAAAGCTTCAATTCTATGGGAAAATATGAACTGTTTTTCTATTTTCTTTGTCTTGATTAATTTAGACTAGTTCTATTTCATTTTAATATTGTTAACATTAACAAACTGGTGTTTCCAGGGGAAATGATCATTTCACTACATTTAATAAATTTAACTAGTATTTTTGTTTTTCTTATGACAAACATTTAATTTAGCTCCTAACTATATCTCCATATCTTCTTCAGGTATTTGGAGAAAAAAGTGGTTACTCTCAACTCAGGCAAATCAAAGAGGAATTTAGTGTAAAGGTCAGAGAAATTTCAAGGAATTCAAATACTTTAAGTATAGCTGACCTTCAAAGGGACTGTAAGACATTATTTTAATTCAGTAGCTTGGAGAGGCTTCAAGCAGACAGGAGATCATGGATTTTGGTTTCTTAAATTTATTCAGTTATGTGAAACAGCTTTATTTGTGTGAGACAGATTGTGTGTGTTTCAATGGAAAAAAAGGGCTTTCAGACACACCAGAATGTAAACAAATTGCTTTTTTCATGTAATCATTTTAAAGAAAAACAAAGGAAAATACACTAGAGATTTCTGGGTACATTTGCCCTCATGAAGTCACTCGTAATGTATTTGGTCTCGGACTGCTAATGACAAGAAGACTATGTGTCAATTTTAACTTTTTTTATGAATACTTCCTTCAGTCACATTGTTTTACAACCATTTTGTCACTGAAAAAAGCTTCCTTGAAATAATTTTTAAAAAATCAAATATTTAATCAGTTTGATATTTTCTAACATTATCTTATAGCATATTTTAAATATTTCTATTAATAAGAATTTGTGGGACTCCCAAGCAAGATGGTGGAATAGGAACAGCTCCAGTCTGTAGTTCCCAGGGAGACCAATGCAGAAGGTAGGTGATTTCTGCATTTCCAACTGAGGTACCTGGCTCATTTCACTGGGATTGGTTAGACAGTGTGTACAGCCCACAGAGGGTGAGCAGAAGCAGGATGGTGCGCTGCCTCACCCAGGAAGCACAAAGGGTCAAGGAACTCCCTCCTCTAGCCAAGGAAAGCCAAGAGAACTGTGCCATGAGGAATGGTGCACTCCAGCCCAGATACTACACTTTTCCCACGGTCTTCACAACCCACAGACCAGGAGGTTCCTTAGGGTGCCTACACCACAAGAGCCCTGAGTTTCAAATACAAAACTTGGGGGCCATTTGGGCAGACACCCAGCTAGGAGTTTTTTAAATTTATTTTTATTTTCTATTTTTGTACCCCAGTGGCACCTGCAATGCTAGCAAAACAGAACCATTCACTCCCCTGGAAAGAGGGCTGAAGCCAGAGCCAAGTGGTCTAGCTCAGTGGATCACACACCCACAGAGCTATGTATATGCACCCAATACAGAAGCACCCAGATCCATAAAGCAAGTTCCTAGAGACCTACAAAGAGACTTAGACACCCACACAATAATAGTGGGAGATATTAACACCCCATTGTCACTATTAGATCAATGAGACAGAAAATTAACAAGGATATTCAGGTGTTGAACTTAGCTCTGGACCAAGCCGACCTAGTAGACATCTACAGAACTCCCCACCACAAATCAAAAGAATGTAGATTCTTCTCAGCACCACATAGCACTTATTCTAAAATCAACCATATAATTGGAAGTAAAACACTCCTCAGCAAATGCAAAAGAACAGAAATCATAACAAACAGTTCTCAGACCATAGTGCAATCAAATTAGAACTCAGGATTAAGAAACCCACTCAAAACCATGCAACTGAATGGAAACTGGACAACCTGCTCCTGAATGACTACTCCATAAATTACAAAATTAAGGCAGAAATAAGTAAGTTCTCTGAAACCAATGAGAACAAAGACACAACATACCAGAATCTCTGGGACACAGCTAAAGCAGTGTTTAGAGGAAAATTTATAGCACTAAATGCCCACAGGAGAAAGCGAGAAACATCTAAAATTGACACCCTAAAATCACAATGAAAAGAACTAGAGAAACAAGAGCAAAGAAATTTAAAAGCTAGCAGAAGACAGGATACTAAGATCAGAGCAGAACTGAAGGAGATGGAGACACAAAAAACCCTTCAAAAAATCAATGAATCCAGGAACTGGTTTTTTGAAAAAATTAACAAAATAGATAGACCACTTACCAGACTAATAAAGAAGAAAAAAGAGATGAATCAAATAGACACAGTAAAAAATGATAAAGGGGAGTTCACCACTGATCCCGCAGAAATACAGACTACCATCAGAGAATACTATAAACATCTCTACTCAACTAAACTTGAAAATCTAGAAGAAATGGACAAATTCCTGGACACTTACACCCCCCCAATACTAAACCAAGAAGAAATCTAATCCTGAACAGACCGATAACAAGTTCTGAAATTGAGGCAGTAATTAATAGCCTATCAAGCAAACAAAGCCCAGGCCCAGACAGATGTACAGCAAAATTCTACCAGAGGTACAAAGAGGAGCTGGTACCATTCCTTCTGAAACTATTCCAAACAATAGAAAAAGAGGGAGTCCACCATAACTCATTTTATGAGGCCAGTACCATCCTGATGACAAAACCTGGTGGAGACACAATAACAACAACAACAAAAATTTCAGGCCAATATCCCTTATGAACATCAATGCAAAAATCCTCAATAAAATACTGGCAAATTGAATCCAACAGCACATTAAAAAGTTATCCACCACGATCATGTAGGCTTCATCCCTGGGATGCAAGACTGGTTCAACATACACAAATCAATAAATTTAATCCATCACATAAACAGAACCAATGACAAAAACCACATGATTATCTCAATAGCTGCAGAAAAGGCCTTTGATAAAATTCAACACACCTTCAAGCTAAAAACACTCAATAAACTAGGTATTGATGGAACAAATCTCAAAATAATAAGAGCTATTTATGACAAACTCACAGCCAATATCATACTGAATGGGCAAAAGCTGGAAGCATTCCCTTTGAAAACTGGCACAAGACAAGGATGCCCTCTCTCACTACTCCTATTCAACAGAGTATTGGAAATTTAGGCCAGGGCAATCAGGCAAGAGAAAGAAATAAATGGTATTCAAATAGGAAGAGAGGAAGTCAAATTATCTCTGTTTGCAGATGACATGATTATATATTTAGAAAGCCCCATCGTCTCAGCCCAAAATCTCCTTAAGCTGCTAAGCAACTTCAACAAAGTCTCAGGATGCAACATCAATGTTGATAAATCACAAGCATTTCTATACACCAATAAGAGACAAACAGAGAGCCAAATCATAAGCAAACTCCCATTCACAATTGCTACAAAGAGAATAAAATACCTAGGAATACAATTTACAGGGGATGTAAAGGACCTTTTCAAGGAGAACTAAAAACCACTACTCAAGAAAATAAGAAAAGACAAAACAAATGGAAAAACATTCCATGCTCATGGATAGGAAGAATCAATATCTTGAAAATGGCCATGTCGCCCAAAGTAATTTATAGATTCAATGCTATTTCCATCAAGCTACCATTGACTTTCTTCACAGAATTAGAAAAAACTGCATTAAATTTCATATGGAACCAAAAATGAGCCTGTACAGCCAAGACAATCTTAAGCAAAAAGAACAAAGCTGGAGTTATCATGCGACCTGACTTCAAAGTATACCACAAGGCTACAGTAACCAAAAACAGCATGGTAATTGTACCAGTACCAAAACAGATATATAGACCAATGGAACAGAACAGAGGCCTCAGAAATAACACCACACATCTACATCCATCTGATCTTTGACAAACCTTACAAAAAGCAATGGGAAAAGGAGTCCCTATTTAATAAATGGTTGGGAAAACTGGCTAGCCATATGCAGAAAACTGAAACTGGAATCCCTTCCATACACCTTATACAAAAATTAACTCAAGATGGAGTAAGGATTTAAATGTTAAGACCTAAAAGCATAAAAACCCTAGAAGAAAACCTAGGCAATACCATTCAAGACATAGGCATGGGCAAAGACTTCATGAGTAAAACACCAAAAGCAATGGCAACAAAAGCCAAAATAGACAAATGGGATCTAATTAAACTAAAGAACTTCTGCACAGCAAAAGAAACCACAATCAGAGTAAACAGGCAACCTACAGAATGGGAGAACATTTTTGCAATCTATCCATCTGACAAAGGGCTAACATCCAGAATGTACAAAGAACTTAAGCAAATGTACAAGCAAAAAATAAACAATCCATTAAAAAGTGGGCTAAGGATATGAAGAGATACTTCTCAGAAGAAGACATTTATGCAGCTAACAAAGATGGAAAAAAGCTCATCATCATTGGTCATTAGAGAAATGCAAATCAAAACCACAATGAGATACCATCTCACGCCAGTTAAAATGGCGATCATTAAAAAGTCAGGGAACAACCGATGCTGGAGAGGATGTAGAGAAACGTGAATGCTTTTACACTGTTGGTGGGAGTGTAAATTAGTTCAACCATAGTGGCAGACAGTGTGGCAATTCTTCAAGGATCTAGAACTAGAAATACAATTTGACCCAGCAATCCCATTACTGGGTATGTACTCAAAGATTATAAATTATTCTACTATAAAGACACATGCACACGTATGTTTATTGCAGCACTATTCATAATAGCATAGACTTGGAACCAACCCAAATGCCCATCAATGTTAGACTGGATAAAGAAAATGTGGCACATATACACCATGGAATACTATGTGGCCATAAAAAAGAATGGGTTCATGTCCATTTCAGGAACATGGATGAAGCTGGAAACCATTTTCAGTAAACTAACACAGGAACAGAAAACCAAACACTGCATGTTCTCACTCATAAGTGGGAGTTGAACTATGAGAACACATGGACACAGGGAGGGGAACATCACACACTGGGGCCTGTCGGGGGATGGTGGGCAAGAGGAGGAATAGCATTAGGAGAAATACCTAATGTAGATGACGGGTTGATGGCTGCAGCAAACCACCATGGCACATATATACCAATGTAACAAACCTGTACGTTCTGCACATGTATCTCAGAACTTAAAGTATATATATAAAATAGAACTTGTGTAATCTATATATTAAACACTATTTCTATATTCAATTTTGGACAATGCCTTTTTTATAGATACCAGAATATTTACTTATTTTTAATCATTATCTTATTTCTTTTTTACTAATTCATTATTACAAGTGAGTGTGGACTGTAGAGAGTATCATACTTTTTTTTTTTTTTGAGACGGAGTCTGGCTCTGTCGCCCCAGGCTGGAGTGCAGTGGTGCGATCTCGGCTCACTGCAAACTCCGCCTCCCGGGTTGGTGCCATTCTCCTGCCTCAGCCTCCCCAGTAGCTGGGACTACAGGCGGCCGCCACCACGCTGGGCTAATTTTTTTGTATTTTTAGTAGAGACAGGGTTTCACCGTGTTAGCCAGGATGGTCTTGATCTCCTGACCTCCTGATCCACCCGCCTCGGCCTCCCAAAGTGCTGGGATTACAGGCGTGAGCCAACGCGCCCAGCCTCACACTTTTTAAAACTTAAGCACATTTCCTCCATTTGTGTTTCAAGGAACACTTCTCCAGGTGGTAATAATTTTAATGAAAAAATTTATATGAAAATGATTGCATACACTTTCTTCCTTTTAATATCTCAAAACATGTTGAATGCTTTACACTCTGGCAACTTCTGCAAGAAACTTATGAGAATCTATTCAGTCTTCTGTTTGTTTTTTTAGTCCAAGATTATAAAGTCACCCTAATTACTTATCTTCTTGTTCTTCTCACCCTCTCCTCCTCCTCTCTTTTCTCGCTGTATTCTTCAACATATATTACCATTTGTTAATTTTTTTTTATATTTTCCAAATTGGAGATGGCCAAATTAGAGAAATGAATTCTTCTATCGAATATGTTTTTATATTCCATTAAAAAAACTCTTCAGCAAATATTTTTTGGAACACCAGGATTTGTATAGTATCACTGTACCAGACAAATGGATATGAGCTAATCTTTTTATCAGCATGTGTTTTGTCTTACAAAACAGCAATCTTGTGCTATTAAAAGATGCCTTTATAAATTTTGTTTTTAATACATTTAGTGTGTTATAGTTTTTTATAGTCTTATCCGTCAAAATGTAGCTGTTATTTTTAAATATGTAATTTAAATCCATATCTATTATAAACAAGTTGAAATAAAATAAGAAACAAAAGAGAATAATTGGCTTTAAGGGAAAAACATAATCAAAAATAGTAATCGTTTTTTCTTAGGAAATCACTGGGATTTTTGCTGGTTCAGAAAACAAAATCACTCCTAAAATGTCCTAGAAATGTATTTATCTCCAGGCCCCCAGTGTTAACATAATGAATCTATTTCTCTTATCTTTATTTTGTTACAGGAAAAACGTAGTCAACAAACATGGGCACAAGTTTTGGGGAAAAAAAACTGATTTGTGGGCTCCTTCAGATTGATAATGAATATGATGTTTTATTCAATTACATCTGAAGTTTATTTGGAAAACAATACAGAAACATCTTCGTGATTGGAATGCAAAATTATGTGGTGCTATTTCGATTAATTATAGTCTAATAATTCGTTTTGCAGATACACAGAATACTTAAATCTCATGTTTTTAAATGTGTATAAACTATTAAATTACTTCATTGTGAATGGTTTACACAGTAATTGGATTAAGTTGGTGAATCAATAAAACATGTTAACATGAAATTGCTGTTTGACATGATTCATTTTAGCCTTAATTATTTTGATTTTACCTATTGGCATAATGCGTATTTCCCATCTTCCAAATGATTCAAGAATCACAAATTCAGTGTTTATCAACACAGTGCATGTAAATCGTTTTAATTACTTGTTAATGAAGGTATCACTAGAGAAAACAATTATATGTGAAAAGTTGTAGAATGTGAACAATTGACATTGTCATTAAAGAAACCTGGTTGCATATATCGTACATTTACATTAGAAAGAACCAATATTTCCAAGGTATATAAAGCCATGTTTATGCTATGTGATTACCTGATTATATTTGCTAGTATTTTATATTTAAAATGAACTCTAACTAAAAATAATGCAGTCATATCTCATTGTTCAAGATATGAATGATTCTACAATTGCTTATTAATAGCTATATTGTGTGTGAGTATATGTGAAAGAGAAAAGGAGGCAAAGGAGGAGGGTATGGAGAGAGAAAGAGTGAGAGAAGGAAGGAAAGAAAGAGAGAATAAGATTTTATTACCATTGGATATCACTATGAATGTTTTGATTTTATTGTATGCTAAATCCTGAAAAGTCACACAAACTTCATGAGGGTTAAGGTGTTGAAATCTTTATAAGCTGGCAAAGAACTCTTCAAACTACCAGTATGCCATCTTTCTTCACTTGGTTCATAACAAAGAATCCGCAAAAAAGGGACATTGGGCAAGAAAGAGTGAAATGCAGTCTAAGACATGTACTCCTAAAATTGAAGTGGTTATCTGTAGCTGCATTTAAGTCATTAGTTGTCAGTTTGCAGAAGCTGAAATTTGTAGAGAATACTACTGAAAAAAGAGCAATTCTGAAAATAGTGTCGATGAATATTTCAGTTTTTATGAAATAATATAAAACATTGAGAGAAATTGGCAATGGGGGTAAAAATAGGTTCTTGTGAGTGGGGGATTTCCCGTGTATTTCTGACACCTAACTCTTTCAGTGCCACTTTGCCAGCTGGAAATCTCCACAGCCAGTGGTGCCCCTGCCCGAGGTTCATTCAGCTCTGGGCTCACTGCTGTGTTCACTTGGCACCCTCGGTACGGCGGGCTGCACTCAGCTCACACTACCAGCCCAGATCCCGAGAATGCTCAGGGACTCTTCATTCAGCCAGTGGCTGAGCTGGGCATAACATGACCTGCTTCCACTTGGGTGTCAGTGTCTGGACAAGGGGAAATGCTGCAGTTCCCAGAAACTCAGAGATGCCAGCAACTGTGGAGCTGACTCTCACCCGGGTAGTCCCTAGGTCTGAGCCTCAAGGACTGTTACAACTCTCTCTCTCTTCCTGCCACCCACAGTACAGCAAATGAGAGGTGGGGCGTGTTACAGCTCATTCATGTTACAGCTCATGTTTGTTCCTGCGGTCTGTAGTGCAGCAAACGAGGGGCATGTTACAGCCCTTTTGTGTTATACTTTGTTCATGTTACAGCTCGTTCCCGCAGCCCGCAGCACCACAAATGGGGTCATGTTGTAAAGCAGCATTTCTCCCTCATTGCTCGGTAAGTGGGAGGTAGGGTTACAGTTTTACAGCTCCTTTTGCACCCACTGTTCAGCAGGTTCCAGGTTCTTGTCCCGCTTCCAAGAGGAATGAGGTATGTGGACACCAGAGAGTAAGCAAAGCACAGAAGAATTTTATTGAGCTACAGAAGGAAAGCTCTCAGCACAGACAGTACCCAAGAGTGGGTGGCCCTCTGTATGAGAGCAGGCCTGAATGCAGATTGTCCAATGTGTGGCTGTGTTTTTTTTTTTTGTTTTTTTTTTTTTTTGAGGCAGAGTCTTGCTCTGTCACCCAGGCTGGAGTGCAGTGGCGCAATCTCGGCTCACTGCAAGCTCCGCCTCCCACGTTCAGGCCATTCTCCTGCCTCAGCCTCCCGAGTAGCTGGGACTACAGGCGCCCGCCACCACGCCCGGCTAATTTTTTTTTTTTTTTTAGTAGAGATGGGGTTTCACCGTCTTAGCCAGGATGGTCTTGATCTCCTGACCTCGTGATCTGCCCGCCTTGGCCTCCCAAATTGCTGGGATTACAGGCGTGAGCCACCACGCCCAGCCAAGTCCTGGTTTTTCATGAGCTCAGAGTACGGGAGTGCATACTGATTGGTCCATGGGCGGGCCTAGAAAGGGCACAATTTGATTGGCTAAAGGGCATTGAGGAAGTTCTCATTCCAGTCATTTACTCTTCCCAGAACTGGCAGCTCAGTTTTCAGGCTTTAAATTGTCTTTGGTTTGATGGTTGGGTTTCATGGGGGATCTGTACCTGTCTGCCTAGGAATTTGTCTGTCTCCTGCTGCTATTAATATCATTGTAAATAATTATCATCCAAAAAAAGCAAATGTTAGAGTAACAAACACTGAATAGTGTTTCCTTTTAGCCATTGATTTGTCATTAGAATATAAATTATTAAATTAATTTTAGAAAAATAGAATTAAAGGGAAATGCAAAAGTTTCCGACCCTTTTGGCTTTATTCACACTGGACTTACTGTAACCGGTAAACAACTACAGAATTGGATATAACATGTGAGCAAATATTTTTAGGCATAGGAAAACAGGTAGTGCAAAACTGTGAAGCTTGATAGAAATAAAGCGAGCCCTACTTTCAGTCGGGTTTTGAACATTAATGCACTTTTTAAACTCTACCCAGAAGATGTATATCAGAGAAAGAGAGTAGTTGTTTTTCTGAGATGGGGATACAAAGATTGGAGTTCAGTTTGCAGAAGAAGCTGAAATTTGTAGAGAATATTACTAGAAACTAGAAAACTGTCCCAAGTTTGGCCCCAAAAGTTTTCATGAGGGCTTCCTCTTAGTCGTTGAACAAGCATTGGTCTGATCATGTGAATGATAAGTTGAAGGTCTTGAAGAGTGTAACCACTGTGGAGCTTAAGGCAAATTGGAGATACCAGTGGTTATTCATCCCTTGGACTTCTGCCTAACCAGAATGGAAACGCATCACTGAGGACTTCAAGCATCCAGTTGTGACTCCAGAAATCTTATGTTTTAACAGTAATAGACATGTCCTAAGGGTAAGAAAATGTCCTAATACTAAGAGAAACCGATCTAAATAGACCAATATATTCTACTAGGGCCAGGAACAATGAGAGTGATTTTTCTCATCTTGCTAGGCATGCCAATCAACATCTATTCAGTTCAAAACAGATTATACGTTCTCAGTATAAACCATCACGAAAATATTTTGAAAAGAAGACATAGTGCATTCAACAAATACTAAAAATGTGGTTACTAGCCCATGGCCTGTATTTCAACTGAGGACACATTTCTTCTTCCTCTTTTCCAAATATTCCTAATAAGATAAAAATTTGAAACATTAAAATTGTTCAAAAATGCATGGAATTTGGCCTAATTTAAGCCTTAAAACAGTTCAGTTTTATAGACTTGTATATAACAATAGGCTTCAGGCTGGGCATGATGGCTCACACCTGTAATACCAGCACTTTAGGAGGCCGAGGCGGGAGGATCACCTGAAGTTGGGAGTTCGAGACCAGCCTGGCCAACATGGAGAAACCCCGTCTCTACTGAAAAAAATACAAAATCAGCCGGGCATGGTGGCACATGCCTGTAATCCCAGCTACTTGGGAGGCTGAGGCAGGAGAATCACTTGAAACTGGGAGGTGGAGGTTGCAGTGAGCTGAGATCGCACCTTTGAACTCCAGCCTGAGCAAAAAGAGCAAAACTCTGTCTCAAACAAACAAACGAACAAAAACAATAGGCTGCTATACTTAACAATATAATTGGACCTGTTGAATATACTTTGATTTCTGCCTTTCTTCATAATATGGCAATAAGTTATTCAGGTTTATTTATTTATTCAATCATGCATTATTCTGAATTATAGATGAGCTCTAGAACATTAAATTAAAATAAGAAATCTAACCCTGTAAGCAGAACTTGGAAATTAGTATGATCAAGGTCTTTTGGAGTGAGGAATATTAAAAACCTAGAGATATAATCAGGGATTACACATTAGCCACTAGATATTGGAAACTGAAGTAGTTAACATTCTGCTGCTAGTTGCAGACTTAAATCAGGATTCACTGCTCTCCAAGATTACATTTTCTATAGAAAAGATATCAAAAATGAAATCTCTACAGTATAAAAGTGACTATTAATTAAAGGGAACCAGAAAATTAAAATAATTTATTTCAATCAATAATGTAAAAATAGTAATATTTTAATGAGTTAACATTTCAAAATTTAAGGTGTTCCTTAATCTTTTTAAAATTGTGCATTTTTACTCATGTGTTTTAGAATAAATAACAATTCAAGATCATAAAAAATTAAGAGAAATATTAATCTAAAATAGCAAAACTTAAGAAAAAATTAAAAAACTTATACAGAAGAATAACTTTTTATTAGTCATATATTCCACTATTGGTATAATCACTAAGTTGCTAGATAAAAAGTAAATAGTATATTTATGATAACACATCCACACACATTCTTTCTTTCTCCCCAGAGTCCCCTTCATCTTCTACTAGTTTGAATATTATTCATTTATCTTATTTTTGTTTAGAAACCTGTCTAATAATTGCCCAACTTTATTGTCACAAAAGCATTTTTTAAAAATGCTTTTTATCTACCTCATTTATAATGATACGATGATGATCTTTCTTGATTTGAGTCTTTCAAGCTGCTGAAATTTTTCGGGCTCTATTTGGTTGCTTCATGATGGTGAATCTGATGCAGCTGGTCTCAGAGAGAACTCAGACATGCCCTTGATACCTATGTATGCACATTTATGAAGATTCCAGTGTTTATTATATGGGTATAATTGTGTCCCAGTAAATACTTATGGAAAGTCAATTTTGAATTTGATATAATTTTCATACTGCACAATTTTTTCGAACCATTTAAAAATGAGAAAAACATTTTTAGCTCAGAGGTTGTACAAAAACAGGCAGCAGGCTGGACTTGGCAGCAGGTTGGTCCATAGTTTGCCAATCTCTAGTACAAAAAGGCTCCAATCCTATATTTGTAGAATTAGGGAATGCTTTCCAATTTAAGAAGTACTAAACTGAAACTTGAAGGATGAAAGAGAATTACAGTTTCTAGCATAGACTGAGATTTAAAAATATAACTGTTGGCTAAAGGAGAACTTAGTCAAGTGAAAGGGATGAGGAGAGAAGTAAATGATAGTTCTAGAATAAGGAATCAGCTGTTCAAAATCTACAACAAAAGAGACTGTGACATTTTTGAGAGATCAAAATATACCTAGTGCGGTTGACTTGAAGACTGTGAAATGTGGAACAGGAAGCTACATGTTATTGGGAGAGCCACATCAACACTCCAAGCTGCACCTCCTCCTTTGCAAAAATGAGTAATAATATATTCTAGCATTGCAGAGATGGCTAAATAAGGTAATTGATATGGAATTGCTAAATGGGTAGAAAGCTTAATTTTTATTCTTCATATATTAGCTTTTTTCCAGAACTGTGCCTACTTAAATATTTTATTTTGACTTTATAAAATTTATTTATTTTGCTAAGCAATGTTTTAAAATTAACGTGGTTAAATTGAACATTCTCCAAATGTACTGCTTAATCAAATTCGTCAGTTAAATTTCATTATAAAGTTGATTTTATAATGTTTGCAAATATGTGAAAGTTACAAATAATGTTGTAGTAGCCCAGATAGGCTGAATTGAAACCTTATGTTATTTTGTTTTGTTCTATTCTGGCTTTGGTCTGAAAGGGCAGGCAGAGATCATATAGTGTTTTTCTATTGCACTAGTTTTTACAAGTTAATTCATAATTTTGTTTCATTTTCTCATTCATTTAGTCAATAAATATGTACAGAGGGTGCAATCACATGCAGCAATTATTTCTATATTACAGTTTCAAAAGATAGGAGCCCATTTTCCCTTGAGAATAAATCCAAAGTATAATTAACCACCTCAGCAAGAAAGACACAATACTTCACTGCCCTTCAAATAACCCTGAGTAAATTATTTATTCCCCCATAAAATAGATGGTCAATTGAACACATATCACCTCCCTCCAACCCCTTCCTGCTGTGTATATTTAGTGCTGAGCACAGTCTTCTGAGTTCTCAGCTATTCTTATAGTGCTATTTTCTTCTTTAATGTTACTTTTGACCTCTACATTGGCAATACTATTCAGGGTGCTCTCATTAAGGTCAATTTGTCTTATAGACAGTGAACTTCAAATGGAAACCCTGTCCACTCAATACAAGGAGATACGTAAGAAGTACTTTAACAAAAGTTTTACTTTCTACATGAGATTACTTCATTAAATTTGAGGCAATGTTGCTAATGGATTGAGTGAGGAGATATTTCACTATGCATTGTGACTGGACTTCAAAACTGTCTAACATTCCTCTGGCTCCATTCCACTGACTTATGTGTGGGATTTGGAATGTCATAGAAGGAAGCTTCAGGTTATTCATTTATGAAATGGCAGCATAAAGATCTATAGACCCCACAGAAATTCGACATCAATAATTATAAATTTTTTGTAAAATGTTAAGTAATATAATTTAGCCCTGAGATTAGTGTTTCATACCTTCCAGGAATATACAAATTATCCTTGTGATCTTAAAGCATTACTGGACACCAGTGACAGAGTTTATGACTCAGGGAACTTGATTTTAATTTTTTTCTTTGTTTTATTTTTCCTTATATAGCAAGAATGAGAAATATTAAATAAAAATCATTAGAAAACAAATAACAGTGTATGAGGTTGTAAAAATTAACTAACATTACAAGCAATTTAACAAATATAGACTGCCTACTAATTATAAAGCTCTCTGTTAGTTCAGAAAAGGAAGCAGGATATTTTTCATTCTAAAGTAAGTGATCCTAGCACTTTGGGAGGTCAACATAGGCAGACGGTTTGAGGAGTTCAAAACCAGAGTGGACAACATAATGAGACCCTGTCTCTTAAAAACAAACTTAATTTTTTAAAAAATAGTAAAACAAATGATCTATAATTGTCAGCATTTTTATTGGTATTACAAATAGCCCAGTTAAATGGTTGTATGATTGAAATGAATACAAATCAAATATATGAAATGAATACAATGGTGATATATATTTTAGTTTATATCTTTGCTATCAATCTTGACAGATATTTATTATTATAGTTATTATTTTCTAAGATGAGTTCTTGCTATGTTGCCCAGGCTAGTCTCAAACTCCTGGGCTCAAGCAATCTTCTTACCTCAGCCTTCCAGGTAGCTGGAATTACAAGCATGTAACCCTATGGCTGGTTTCACAGAGATTTTTAAAAGCTTATATTTTTATATATATATATATTCTTTATATATGTATATATATATATGTTATATATATATATAAATCTTTTGGAAGACATGAATGACAATGAAGAGCAAAAACAAGAGAGAAGTAAATACATTGACTGTTCATATCTGCCAAATGCTGATACATATTATCCATTTAATACTTATCTGTACTGAATGTAATTTTACCAATAAGAAAATTGATTCCATAGTCCTTAAGAATTAAAACCAAAATGAAGCTGACAATGAGAAGGAAAGGATCTCAACAGAAGACTATGTAATTCAAAGCCAATATATACATTGTTTTCAATATACCACATTGCCCTCTCTAAGAAGTGGAAACATTTTTTCTTCCTTTATGTCTTTTCTATGTAATGCATCATTTTACTACTATTTATTTACTAGAACTTTTAATGTAGTTTTCATAATCTAAAAGAATTTCAATGAAAGTCTTGGGATGTAGTTGAGTTTTGCTTTCAGCTCTCAAGTTACTATAGAAGCTCTGATAGAGAAGAGTTAACAAAGGAGTCACTCAAGAATTGTGCATGGAAAAATGCGTTGTAATAAGATTCATCAAAGAAAACTAAATATACAGGAGAAAGTTAAATTTCCATAGCTTAAAATGGCAAAAGGAAGATGGAGGTGAATACATGTGAAACACAATATAAATACAATTTTTAGCTTTGGAGGTATGGGCAAAGCCGACAGCTCAGGTAAGTAACCATAGTAAACTGACTTATGGAAGCACCTCACTTTGAATGGTAGACAATCTAATCACTGGGTAGTCATAAGTAAAATATAGCTTCCCTATAAAAAATGCAGTGGTGATTATATTGACAACACGTTGAGAGTATAAGAAAGAGATGTCAAATATATCCATGTCTTTCTATCACCACCTATTTGTAAGCGGTGCTTACTAAGGGGAAAAATGGAAGAAATACAGTTTGGAAATATTTATGCTGTACAAAAAATACTTCTGTAACTGAACCTCAGAAACTTCCTGGAGAAAAAAAAAAGCAGAGTTCCATTGTCAACTCAGTGGGAAGAAAAATTGAGCTAAAAGCCAGTTCTACACTTCTAGAGGAATTCAATTGAACTGTTTTGTGAAAGTATTAGAGAATAGTAACTCCCATCATTTAGGACAGGAGGCATTTATAAGTGGCTCGGGGACTCTAACTAGTCTTTCTACCACCAGTCTTGAACCTTTCAGATCTTTAACAGGGCTGGTAAGGAAACAGCTACTCACCTTATGAAGATCTTTTAATACCTTCTTATTTGTCTCAAAAATAAAATACAAAATTCTTGCAATAGCATAAAATGAAGCCCTCCAAATTATCACGTGGAGTCAGCTTACCTAGTTAAGTGTATAATTCCCTTATCTATCTTTTTATGTTAACTTTTGGTATCCACAAAACTATATGAACTTTTTCAATGGTCTATACCCATAGACTCTCTTCTCTGTTCCAGTATTCTGAACTCACTTCACATACCTGTATATACTTGAATTGGTTTGCCATCTTTCTTATATTGTTTTTCTTTCTTTTGCCATCTTCTTTCAAAGCCCATATATTTTTCAGGTTAAATATTAGAAGCATCTTTCACAGCAAAAAATTTACTGGCTATCATTTGTAAGTTAAATTTCAAATTCTATCAATGCAATTTAATTGATAACTTATACTATCAGTTTATACCCTGCTCTAGCTTCCAAGGATATGTAGATGAAAGCCATAATTCTTACTCCAAGATGCCTAAAATTTAATTAGGGGAAAATTAATTAAGTAAACAATCACAATTCTGTATACTATATATCGCAATTTTACTATTCCTAGTTAGCATGATACTATTTAGGAGGGATACTTAATGCCCTAGTAATTCAAGGGAGGTTCTTTGGAGGAGGTAACATCTAAGTTGATGTTTAAAGAAGGAGGATTAACCAAGCAGTATTAAAAAAGTGTAGAAGGTATTGGCAGGATGAAAGAGCACAGAGGAAACAACACATAAAAGGTATATGGTGAGATATGAGATTGGTGGGAGAAAGGGCAGAACTACATGGCCTCATCTGCCTTGTTAAGGAGTTTCTACTCAAATCTGAGGAAAATGTGGAACTCACAAGGTGGTATTAAACAGAACAATATACATGATCAAATTTATCTCTTTGAATTATCACTAGAGTAAATGAACTGTTGAGAGGGACTCATGAATGGAGAGAGACCAATTTTAAAGAGTCTTGTAGTAATTTAGAGGTAGAAGATAATGGCCAGTACTACATTGCAAGATGAAGATAAAAGACAGTAAACAGCTTTTGGTAGTAAAATTAATTACCCATAATGATTAATTATATGTGAGAAATGAAAAGGAGAAATAGGAAAATACAATGAGGCTTGTGGCTTGGGCAAACATTTAGAAACTTGAAGAAAAGAAGGGATTTTATGTGGTGAAGGAATAAATTTAAGACTATGATATATACACTAGCTTCCCATAAAATACAATGTGATTATTGTATTCATATATAGATGTTCCTCAACTTCTCAACTTCTGCTAGGTTTATCTGGACATAATTGTTTTGTAAGTCAAGGAGCATATTATATGACTATCACATTTGCACCATCATAAAATCAAACCTCATAAGTCAGGGACCATCTGGATAGTTCCTTCTTAACAAAAAATAGATTAAAAACATGACCAGGAGAATTTAAAAATTATTCCCTGTCCTGATAAAGTTAATTTTTTGTTTGTTTATGCCAAATATATTTTATTTATTATTTCTTGATCACTCTGTCTACCATGACTTAAAGGTAAAACTCTGAATATAGAATCTTAAGAAATTATTTTATATATTTAATATTCTTTATATTTTTGAAATGAGGAAGGTGCTTTTTTTGTAAAATATTTAGTAGAATGTTTGTAAAAGACATGGTGAATTGATATTTGCATAGCTGTGCCATATCTTTGTACAAACATATCTGAGCTCTTACATATATAGTAAAGCATATATATATATATATATATATATATATATATATACACTAAAACAAGCAAAAATTTTTAAGGTCAGGCATGTTTATTTTCCAAAGCACTGGAAATTTTCAAATGAGAAATTAAATGTTAGCTTTTAACCTCGTGTGGAAAATAAATCACTTTTGCCATTGCTAAAAGATAAATGGTCCTTCTTTATCATAGATATTACAAGTAGTTTTATAAAAAAAAAAGATCCAACAAACCTATCACAGTTTAAATATTTAGGATTAATAATTTAATGTGATAATTTAATTTTAATAAATTTAATAATTTGATTTTCATAGTCTTCCATAATTGCCTTGCATTAAAGTTGAGCAGAACAATCAAACAGTAATAACCACAGTGATACTAATAATAATAGTATAAGGAAGAGGGTGAGGAGGAATGAAGGAGGAAAAGGAGGGAACGTAACCTTATTTTTTGCAAGCCAAGATGATTTTCTCCAAAGTTATCTTTGTATCATACAGGTACACTTAAAAAAAATATATTATAATGTATATTATGTTTTCTTAACTCATTGAGGTGGGAGGAAAGCATGTATCTAAGGAGTCTGGGAATGTTGGTTACAGTCATTAAAATTCAGAATGTTTTAAAAATTATTCTACATCTAACTTTCCCCAGTTTCTTCCAGTTTTCCTCTGAGATATTTTATGAAGGAATTAATCAGGATATATTAACCCTCACCTATTTCTTATATTCTTTTATTGTTTTAACAGCCTCTCCTTCTTCATTAGCGAGCCATGCAATTCTCCTTGATTCACAACTTTAAACGCTGTTACATTTTGTGGCTTGGGCCAGATTTCTAAATTTAATTTTTAATTTCAGTGTGGCTGAGGTTCTCACCTTTGCTCTGATCCCAAGTTTTTCTCTCTCTAAATCAGCAGAGGCAGGGCTAACGCAAAGGGAATTGAGATGATAAATGAATCACTATTGTGCCTCTTCATAATGCATTCCCCTTTTTCATCCTGTTGCAATCACAGCAGTGGGTTAACAGAGAGAAAGAACAGGGAGCGTAGGGTTGAGTTAGTGTGGCATATTCTAACACCCCAGCTCCCCTGGATTCTGTGTTAGGTGTGAGTCAAATATTTAGAAAGGAATAGGGGAATCTTTTGATAATTGCTAGGATCCATATGCAAGATTAAAAAAAAAAAACACGTTTTAAAATCTCTACAAAGATAACAGTGTAATGATCAAGACACTGTATAGAGAGATATTTTGTATGTAATTTCATTATATTTGGGCATTAAAACCATAAGTTCTTTTATTTATATGTCAGCTTTAAAGATGTAAAAGCCTCAAAATGTTAATGGAAGGTATACTAAGGGAATCTATTTTTTTAAATTAAAAAATACAATAAAATACAAAGAACGATTTACTTCCATAAATGTCAAAGTATTTATACCCTTAGGCTTAGACACTCACATAGGTGAGTCTGGAGGAATTATCTGTCTTCTTCCTGCACACCAAAATTTAGTTAACTCATAATCTGACTTTAGACTGCTGTATCGTCATCCAGTTATCATATTTTCGGGACAGCTTTTCCAGATCTCCCTGGCTGAGTCATTTCCCCCATAGTACACGTTTATGGTATCAGGTACTTCTCCTAAGTAGTAGTTGCAGTTTAGTATCACTGTGTCCTTATTCGTTCGTCCTGAAGAAAGGGTCTATGTCTTGTTTGCACTGCATTTTAACTCAAATAGCAAACATAGTACATGCCATATAGTAGATAATGAAAAAATATCTTGAGATGAATGAGCAAACAAATTTTAGACATAAACTCTTTAAAATCTTTACAAAGTAATCTCAACTGTCTAGGCAACTCACAATATTAAAGTAGTTTGAATAAGCCTCATTCTTCCCAATTGATTGCAAACAAAGTTATATTAGGGTGTTTTGCATACTTTGAATCAATAACTATTCATTGAAATAAAGTGTTTTACTTTTAGTTTGGGTAAGGACAAGATTTCCGTAGCTTTCTAGAGATATGAAAACTATTCAAATTGCTTTCAAACTTATACCAAGAGAACAACTTTTAAAATAATATTGTTGTCCTTTGAAAAATTATATGGTTACATGTAAAAACAGAGTCCTTTATTCACCTCTCTTTTTTATACAAATACTTACAGTTGGTTATGATAAGAATGAAAATGATAATATTGAAATTTAAAAACCATAAAGAAAATGTTTTAAAATGAGCATATTATATAATGCTCACATTTTAAAATACATAAGCCATGAAGAAGAAAATATTTCTATATTTTCTTTCTGAAATAACCACTGATTCTGACATAGTAACAAATTGTGCCTGTGTGTATATGTGTGTATATATATGCAGGAGTATTTCATTCTAAATCGCTATAAATCATATAAGCCAAAGCAAAGCATGTTACAATTATATACATATATAACTTACATTCTGTGTTAAGCAAAATTGTGCTAGAGATAGAAAACTCAATTCCGAAGTTATTTGGTACCATCACACTAGAGCATAACTTACATGTAATATAATTCTCAGGAATTAATGTTGAAAACTAGGCCAAATTGAATTGAATTCCCTCTAAATGTCCTCATCTTCAGGTAGTTGTTTCTAAAGCTGCCTCCAGGGATCACCGGAGAGCTTGTTTCAACTTCACAGTAATATGTGCCTTATATATCTGCTTTTTAATAGTAATTTGTTCATTTCTCTGTTTAGCGCTAACCTGATATACTTACTTGAGTTATTAGGAGCATGTGATATATAAGATGTTATTTATCCACATTTTTTCAAGGAACAATCTCACTTTTGAAATTTTTCATATAGAATGCATCATATACACAAAAGATTGAAGTTAGCATATATTTAGAATATAAAAAGTTATATTTAGGCTCAGTAAGGTGGCTCACGCCTTAATCCCAGCACTTTGGAAGGCCAGACTGGTGGATGGCTTGACTCAGGAGTTTGAGACACACCTGGGCAACATGGTTGAAACCTTATCTCTACAAAACATACAAAAATTAGCCAGGCATGGTGGCCACACCTGTAGTCCCAGCTACTTGTGGGCTGATGCAGGAGAATCGTTTGAGCCTAGGGGGTTGAGGCTGAAGTGAGCCGTGTTTTTTGCCACTGCACACCAGCCTGGGTGACAAAGTGAGACCCTGTCTCAAAAAAAAAAAAGTTATATTAAAATGACCACCTGTTGGATCTGGGCAAGATGACAGACTAGATGCAGCCATGAAGTGCCACTCCCACAGAGAAAGATCATGATTTCGACTACACCAACATAGCTTGAACAGATCTTCAAAGAGAAAATGCCAAATGTGGATGCAGAGAAGAGGCAGACATTGAGCCTAAAGAGGGAGGAAACTGGAAACCACATGGCATGCCCCAAGGCGGTGGTTGATTCCCAGCCCTGAAAGGCACCTCCCGATAGGGTGTGTAAAAGGACTGGGGGACTGCCTACTCTCACCTTGAACCTTTGGGATTCTAGCTGCAGGGAACCCCACACCCCCACCAGTGTGTGAGTTTGCAGGGGATGCCCCCCAAGATTAGAGGCAGAGCTGCAGCAAGCGCAGAACTGGGGACGTTTGAGCGTTTGAGTGAAGGCTGACTCTTGCGAAGCCTGGCCATAAGTGCCCATCCCCCAGGGCTGCCTTTCTCTAGAGGTTCTGGGCCCAGCTAACCAACAGGGAGAATGCAGGACCTGCTTCTCCACAGGAATAGGGCTCATCTGTCCTGAAGTCCTGCCTACCCAACAACCCCTCCCAGGGCCCTTTCTTACCCCCAGTCCCCAGTAACCATCCCGAAGTGCAGGTACACAGTGCAGCCTCCAGCCTGGGTGCTTTATTCCACCTGAATGCATTCTGGCAGCCTGAAAGCACTTGGGTTCCCATGCTGTATCCAGAGCCCAATGCCAGGCATCTGGAGGATAGAGCCATGAGTAGCTCCTGGTCCCAGGGCTGCGGCCTGCAGTTCAAGAGTGCCCAGCTGGGATCTGTGCTTAGCACCTGAATGGGGGAGGAGCCCACATTCTCAGAAAATGGAGAGGGAAGAGTGGCACAGGTTCAAAGGCTGGTTTGGGACCTAGATGTGCCTCCTTCCACAGGGATGGTCCAATGGGGGGTGGCCTATTTCCCTAAGGGACTTCTCCCCAAAGGAGCCCTGCAGCTTGAAAGACTACATCAACAAAAGACAAATAACAACAAAAGTCAACTGAAAGACAAACAACAACAAAATAGCAGGCATGGTGCCAATGATCAGAAGTGGTTCCCCCAAGGCCCATAAGCAGACCTGGTGATAGGGTCACTTCTCTCACCCTCACTCCACAGAACACAGCTGCAAATGCAAAGAATACACAAGGGAACTCTATGGCTATGTCAAAGCTCTCAAACAACATCTACTTGATTTCAGTCCAAAATATTATACAACAACGAAAAACACTACTAATACTACTCACAGCAAAAACAAAGCCAAGAATGCCACAACAAACAAAGACCCTGTACAGAGCCTTTGCCTCTGAAAACTTCCAGTAAGGAAGCCAACTGACTATACTCAACCTACACCACAACTAAAAGAGTATCACCCCTCACAGAAGAGAGAGAATCAGCACAAGAGCTCTGACAATTCAAAACGGAGGTGTCTGCTTACTTCCAAACAAGGCCATTAGCTTTACAGTAATGGTTCTTAACCAGTCTGAAATGCCTGAAATGACAGACATGGAATTCAGAGTCTGGATGGCAGGAAGCTCAGTGAGACCCAAGAGAAAGTTGAAATTTAATCCAAGGAAGCCAAGCAATCCAGAAAAATGATTCAAGAGCTGAAAGACAAAATAGCTATTTTAAGAAAGATACAAGCTGAAATTTTTGAGCTGAAAAATTCACTACAATAATCACATAATACATTCAGAAGTATTAACAGCAGACTAGACTAAGCTGAGGAAAGAATCTCAGAGCTCAAAGACCGGTTCTTGGAATCAACTAGGTGAGAAAATAATAATAATAATAAAAATAAAAAATAAAATAAAATAAGAATTAAGAAAAATGAAAACAAACCCTCCAATAAATATGGAATTTTACAAGAGAACAAATCTATAACTCATTGACATTCTTGAAAAAGGAGGAGAGAGAAAAAGCAACTTGGAAAATATATTTGAGGTTACAGTCCACAAAAACTTCCCTAATTTCACTACAGAAGTCAACATGTAAATCCAAGAAATACAGAGAACTCCAGCCAGATATTATAGATCGACCATCCTCAAGGAACATAGTCATCAGATTCACTAAGAGCAATGCAAAAGAAATAATCTTGAAGGCAATTAGAGAGAAGGGGCCAGTCACCTATAGAGGGTACCCCATTAGGCTAGCAGCAGACGTCTCAGCAGAAGAGATTGGAGACCTTTATTCAGCATCCCTAAAGAAAAGAAATTCCAACCAAAAATTTTGTAGCCACCAATCTAAGCTTCATAGGTGAAGGAGAAATAAAAATCTTTCTCAGACAAAATGCTGATGGAACTAGACCATCCTTACAACAAGAGATCCTTAAGGAGGGCTAAATATAGATTTGAAAGAAGACAACTGCTACCACAAAAGCACACTTAAGCATATAGCCCACAGCCACTATAAAGCAACTACACAATCAAATCTATGTAAGGACCAGCTAACAACCTGATGACAGGGTCAAAAACACAAGTATCCATAACAACTTTGAATGTAAATGGCCTAAACACTTCACTTAAAAGACCGAATGACAGTCTGGATAAAAAGTGAAGACCTAATCATTTGTTGTCTTTAAGAGACGCATCTCAGATGTAATGGCACCACAGGCTCAAAGTAAAAGTATAGAGTAAGATTTACCACACAAACAGAAAACAAAAAAGAGCAGGAATTGCTACTCTTGTATCAGACAAAACAGATTTCAAACCAATAAAAATTTAAAAGGACAATAGAGGGCATAACACAATGATAAAAGGTACAATTCAACAAGAAACTTTATTTTATGTATATATAATATATATATTATATATAATATCAATATATATTATATATTATATTAATATATATAATATATATTGATATAATATATGGTGGGATACATATTTAGTATATATTGATATAATATATAGATATAATATATATTTAGTGGGATATAATATATATATAGTGGGAGACTTCAACACCTCACTGACAGCATTAGTCATATCATCATGGCTAAAAATTAACAAATAAACTCTGGACTTAACACTTGACCAATTGGACCTAATAGACATCTATAGAACACACCACCCAAAAATCACAGAATATACATTCTTCTCATCTGCCCACAAAACATCTTCTAAGATCAACCACATGCTCAGTCATAAAGCAAGCATTAATAAATTCAAAAATATTGAAATCATACTAAATACATTCTCAGAGCACAGTGCAATAAAAATAGAAATCAATACTAAGAAAATCTCTCAAAACTACACAAATATATGGAAATTAAACAATTTACTCCTGAATAACTCCTGGGTGAACATCAAAATTAAGGCAGAAATCAAAAAATTCTTTGAAGTTAATAAAAATAGGGACACAACTTGCCAAAATTAGTAGGTTGGAGCCAAAAGAGTGTTAAGCCCTAAATGCCTCCATTATTAAGTTAAATAGATTTCAAATTAACAATCTAACTTTTCACCTAAAAGAATTTTTAAAAAAGGAACAACCCTACCCTAAAGATAGCAGAAGAAATGACTAAAATTAGAGAAAGCTTATTAAATTGAGATGCAAAAATCCACACAAAAGATCAATAGAAACCAAGAGTTTGTTCTTTAAAAAAATAAATAAGATTTATAAAGTACTAGCTGGATTAACAAAGAAAAGGAAAGGGGAAATACAAATAGGCACAATCAGAAATGACAAAGGTGATATTACCATTGATCCCACAGAAATACAAAAGACCCTCAGAGGCTACTATGAACAACTCTATGCACACAAATTGGAGCATGTAAAGGCAATGGATATATTCTTGGTAGCACAAAATCTCCCACGATTGAATCAGGAAGAGACTGAAACCCTGAATAGACCAAAATCAACTTCTGAAATTAAGTCAGTAATAAAGAACCTACCAACCAAAAAAAAAAAAAAAAAAAAAAGCCCTGGACCAAATGGATTCACAGCTGAATTCTACTGGACATAACAAAGAATTGGTACTAATCCTATGAAAATTATTCCTAAAAAATCAAGGAGGAGGAGCTCCTTCCTAATTCATTCTATGAAGCCAGTGTTAGCCTGATACCAAAATCTTGCAGAGACACAATGAAAAAAGAAAACTTTAGGCCAGTATCACTCCTGAGCATGGATGCAAAAATTCTCAGCAAAAATATTAGCAAACTGAATCCAGCAGCACAATAAACAAGTTAATATACCATGATCAAGTTGGCTTTCTTTCTGGGATTTAAGGCTGGCTAAATATATGCAAATCAATAAATTCACCTAACAAACAGAATTGAAAACAAAAATCATGTAATCATCTCAAGAAACACAGAAAAAGCTTCAGATAAAATCCAACATCACTTCATAATAAAAACACTCAATAGACTAGGCATCGAATAAACATACATCAAAATAATAAGAACGATCTATGACAAACCCACAGCCATCATCATACTGAATGGGCAAAAGCTGGACCCATTTCCCTTCAGAACTGGGCAAAACCTGGACCCATCTCCTTCCAGAACTGGAACGAAACAAGGATACCCAATATCACCACTACTATTCAACATAGTACTGGTAGTCCTAACCAGAGCAATCAGGCAAGAGAAAGAAATAAAAGGCATCCAAATAGGAAAATAAGTCAAACTATTTGTCATCACTGATTATATGATTCTACACATAGAAAACCCTAAAGGCCTTGACAAAAAAACTTCTAGAACTGATAAATGACTTTAGTAAAGTTTCAAGGTATAAAATCCATGTACATAGTCAGTAGTATTTCTCTTCACCAACAATGTTCAGGCTGGAGTGAAATCAACAACACAATCCTACTACAATAGCCACAAGAAGATGAAATACCTAGAAATACAGTGTATTAGTCCGTTTTCACACTGCTATAAAAAACTGCCTGAGACTATATAAACAAAAGAGATTTAATTAATTTACAGTTCGACATGACTGGGGAGGTCTCAGGAAACTTCCAATTATGGCAGAAGTGGAAAGAGAAGCAAGGCACATCTTACATGGCAGCAGGAGAGAGAGAGAAGGGGAAAGAACCACTTTTAAACCATCAGATCTCATGAGAACTCACTCACTGTCATGAGACTAGAATGGGGTAAACTGCCCCCATGATCTGGTCACCTCCCACCAGGTCCCTCCCTTGACATGTGGGGATTATGATTTGAGATGAGATTTGAGTGGGGACACAGAGCCAAACCATATTATACAGCTAATCAGGGAGTGAAAGATCTCTACAAGGAGATCTACAAAACACTACTGAAAAAAATCAGAGATGACACAATAAATGGGAAAATATTCCAAGCTTATGGATTGGAAGAATCAATATTATAAAAATGATCATACTGTCCAAAGCAATTTACAGTGTCAATGCTATCTTATCAAACTGCCAACATCATTCTTCACAGAATTAAAAAATCTATCCTGAAATTCATATAGAAAAAAAAAATCCAAATAGCCAAAGCAATCCTATGCAAAATGAAGAAAGCCAGAGGCATCACACTGCCTGATTTCAAACTATACTATAAAGCTACAGTAATAAAAACATCATGGAAAGGGTGAAAAACAAACACATAGGCCAATGGAACACAGTAGAGAATTCAGAAAAAAAGCTGTATACCTACAAAAACCTCATCTTCAACAAGGCAGCAAAAAAAAAAAAAAAAAAAAAAAAAGCAATGGGAAAGGACTTCCTATTCAATAAATGGCACTGGGATAACTGCCTAGCCAGATGCAGAAGATTGAAGCTGGAAACCTACTTATTCACATACACAAAAATTAATTTAAGATCTGGTGTGGTATCTCATGCCTGTAATCCCAGCACGTTAGGAGGCAGAGGCAGGAGGACTGCTTAAACCCAGGAGTTCAAGACCAGTCTGGGCAACATAGAAGGACCTGTCTCTACAAAAAATTTAAAAAATTAGCCAGGCATGATGGTTCATGCTCATAGTGCCAGCTACTCTGGAGGCTGAGATAGGAGAATCACTTCAGCCCAGGAAGGGCTGCAGCGAGACGTGATAGTGCCACTGAACTCCAGCCTGGTGACAGAGCAAAAGCCTATCTTAAAAACAAATGAACAGTCTGGGCGCAGTGGCTCATGCCTGTAATCCCAGCACTTTGGGAGGCCAAGGTGAGTGGATCACTTGAGGACAGGAATTCAAGATCACCCTGGCCAACTTTGTGAAACCCTGTCTCTACTAAAAATACAAAAATTATCTCAGGTTTCATTTTGTTTTGTCAAATGTTATCAATATAAAACATCATAATTCATTCAGAATTTTTATATATGATTTTGATTGAATTGTACTTCAGTACCTTTACACATAAATGGGAAAATCACCACATAATTACTCTATCTTTTGAAAATGAAAGAGAATGTAAATTGCAAATTATTTTACAAATAATCAGAGACTTCCACCAGGGTACATGTCTACCCTATCACAAAAACTCATACTTAGTAAAACATTCTTCTACATGTCTAGAGTTAGATTATTTTTATTCATTTAACAAAAATCTTATTATTTATAATAAGTATATTAAAATATATTTAACATCAAGAGAAGTCATAGAAATTATAAGTTTGTAGATTATTAGCTTTTTCTCATTAGGGTGGGAGGGGTGGTTTTATTTAGCTGTATCTGCAGAAGTCAAAATTCATACAAAAATTACACAGTTTTATATGAATTATAAAATTATAATTTTACATGAATTTTCATGTCTTGGAGAAATAAGATAAACAAATAAACAAATGTCTACCACATCAAGCCTCTGGAGTAAAATGAGTGCTCCCCAAAATCTTGGGATTAAGCTGGTCTGAGAATAGGAAAGACTTTGTAGGATGCTAGGCTTTGTTCTTCATTGAGAAGAAGAGAGCACAAAAATATATGGAAAGCTATTGAAGACTAATTTAACAACAACTACAAATTTTGTCTCACATTCCATTCATGTCCTATTTATAGATGCCAAATTTTATATGCACACATTAAAATTCAGGTAAGGATAAAAATTCTCAATTCTCTAATGGTTTAATGAAGCCAAATGACAACATTAAGATTAGGGTTAGGGTTAGGGTTATGGGAAATAAAATGCAAATGGCACTTATCACATACCACAATGATGTGGCTTATTTCTGGGTCTTCTAACAGATGAAGCCACTTGCTCTTGACTTTATATTTTCCTATCATACTGTCTAAGAAATGGTGATAATTGGAGCAAACTTGGAAGCCTGGTTTTGACGATGGCAATGCCAACATCATTCCCTCAGTGCTAAATCTCTCATTCCAGGCTTTTACTTCAGAGAAAAATTAGCCCATATTTAGGCCACAGTATTTGATGATTCAATTGTAATGGCAAATTGACCTGTGGCCCACGTAGTGCATTTTAAAAATTAAATATTTTCTATTACGTATACCTGATTTGTAAAATTAAGTAAAAATAATAACGAAACACATATCCATCTATATATCTTTCTAATTATTTAAAAACATAGAAAAAAAGTTGTGATATGCATGTTTCATAAACCTATCAAACAATACAAAGTAAATAACAATTAACATTCATACGACAAGTCCTTTCCAGATATGCACTCCAGCTAGAAAAATAAATAGAAGAATCAAGACTCCATATAATGTTTTCCCTTTTGTTTAGATTTCAGTAAGATATTTTAGAATTATGCCTCTAGACATATAACCTGTGTTTTGCTCATTTTCTAACTATTTTTACTGATAGATGACATATTTTATATTGATAATTTATTTAAATCAAAAGCTGTGTAGCTTACAAAAAATTGGTTAAATGTTTAATTAGTAGGCATTTCATGGTGAAATAGTGTTTATCTTATAGCTCATTCTTTGCCACAGTGAAATAACACATCATGAGTTTTCATTAAATTGGCAAGAAATATTAGTTGTCATGAATAAGATATTAAAATTTGTTATATTGCAAATGGAGCTCTCTTAATATTTAAAATGTAAAGTTTATTTTGTAACATTCTTATTAGAAATTTTCATGGTTAAGAATAAATAAAATTAATGAGATTTTAATATTTAATTAATTAACACTTTGCAAGATCTAAGTCTCAAAGATTTGTGAAGTATTTCTTCTTAGCAACGTATCAACCTGCAAGTTTCTAGTTCCATAAGATAAAAGAAAACATGGTTGCATTTTTGAATTTAGATGTAGAAGAAATATTGGATTTCAATCCTCAATTTGTAGGTGTGCAAATGGAATTCTTCGGAGGTTGTAAAGGTATTGTCTCTTTACATATAATGGTCTTAGCAGGAGCAGGGCTCAAAGCTGTGTATTTGTGTTTCAACTCATGATATGATTTTAAAATTAAATCCGTATTCCTTATTTTAACTACATTCATGTATACTCTTCACAACACACCTTTTGCAGTTAGCATTTTCTGTTTTTTACTATGATTTTAACTATAAGTGCTAATGATGTGAACTGGTAAAATGTGATATTGAAGCTTTTTGTAATTCTCACAGCATGTGAAAGAGCTTCCAGATCTTGAAGATTAAATCAGGAAATGTATTTAAATAATAAGAAAAATAATTGTTTCTGCTTTCTAGTATACATTCAAAGGGAAACAATTTTAGTTATAAGTTTATGTATGTCAATAACAATGTCATGATTTTTCAATGTTTTACTTTGGTTTTTAGATACTGTCGTTATAAAATTGTAATCTAATACTTTATCAATGTGTATAATTTATATATTGCCATGAAACATGAAAAATAGGATTTCAGTCACTATGCATGAGATAGACTCAGAAAGAAAAAAAAAGCACTCTAAACTTATTTTTGTCTTTTGACTAAAATTTGTATTCACAAGGAATAACTCAACAACTTTGAGCATGCAGGGCAGGTCTAATGCAGAGCTTCTATTAACTGTGGTCTCCTGGGATTTATACACATCATATGTGAAGTGAGTGAACCAGCTATTACCTCAACCACAAAGAAATAAAAATCGGTGAATTTTTTCTTATTACCTTTTTAAGTGTCTTTCATTTCATTTTTATAGCTTAGTGGTTTATGTCACTGATGGAAAAGAAATTCAAAAATAAACCTAAAGTATAATAATTTAAAAAACCAGAATTTAACTCTTCTGGTATTTCAGTGAATTAATACTAGAATTAGGAAGCAAAATGCTTTATTCACACTTAGAAGTACAATATTGATATTTTGTTTTACGTAGATTTTCAGTTGGCAACTTTTGTTTCTCCTAAACATTATCAGGAAATGAAGTTTATGGCAAATGGAGCCAAAGAAACATCCTTAATTTGAAAGAGACAAAAAAAAAAAACCAACAAAAACAATAAAAGGCTCAGTGGTATGTGCCAAATGTGGAAAAAGCGGAAAAGGGAGAACAGCTTTAATGTTGGTTGATGAGGGAGTGACAAGAACAATTACCTCAACTTTTAAGAAAGATAGGCTAGTTATGTGAACATTTACTCCTGGATATACTCTATAACTTCTGTATATTTGCAAATATATATATTATATATATAAATATGTTATATATATATATCTAAAAACATATGACAAAGACCAAGTGGCATAAATCTAAAATAATATTTTTATACAATAATTAGAAAGCAGGTAACACATTTTCTTATGATTTTATTTTTTAAGAAAGGAAAACGTGCATACTTATAATATTGTCCTAAATCTCACTAAATATGCTTTAAATAATTGGTTTATTTTTTCTTTCATAGTGAGGATGTTTTTATTCATGTTAATAATGAAAGCTCTACTTGTTTCTCAGAAGAGCTGAAAGCATTCTTGAGCATAAAGTCATACACCTTTTCGGGAAAAGTTGGTGTCTAAAGTAACCTGACAAGAAATTTCCTATGTGGAGCTGGCCTTATGTCTGATCATATTGATGCAGTTCATTAAATACTACTAGAATTAAATATAGCTGCATGGAAAAGTCAATTTTTTAAATTAATGACCTGTATTTAAGAGCAGTTTTATATTAACAGCAAATTGAGTGGGTAGTACACAATTCCTATGTGACTCCCATTCCCATGTACAAGCAGCCTCCTCCACTCTTCACATCCTGCACTAAGGTTATGCATTTGTTACAACCTATGAATCTACACTGACACATAATTATCACCCAAAGTCCATAGTTTATATCAGGGTTCAATCTTGCTGTTGAACATTCTATGTGTATGGACAAATGAATAAGGACACCTATTCGCCATTATGGTATCATACAGAATAGTTTTACTGCCTCCAAATCCTCTGTGCTCTGCCTATTCATCCCTTCCACCTCCGTAAACCCTGGAAACCACTAATTATTTTATTGTGTTCACAGTTTTGCCTTTCTAGGATGACATATAGTTGGAAGTGCACAGTCTGTGGCCCTTTCATATTGGCTTATTTTACTTAATAACATGCATTTCAGTTTCCTTCATGTCTTTTAATGTGTGTATACTTCATTTCTTTTTGTTGGTGAGTATACCCCATTTTCTAGATATAGCACCATTTATTTATTCATTCACCCACTGAAGGATATCTGGCAGCTATCCAGCTATACAAAAATTCATATTATGTTTCTTATTTTCAGTGCTGGTTCAAATATTTTTGTTTGTAAAAGTATTTGGCAAATTAATAACTTAACTGAATTCTAACAAAAATATATATAAAGTTTTCTTGAAAGAGTGAATAGATAAATGTAGCCAAAGAAATATTGAAAAACAATCATTTTAGCACTTATATTCAGATGTGCCCTGCATTGTCCTGAACATTATTTACAGAATTATTTGAAAAAATACATTTTCTTGATCATCACTGATCCTATTCCACGCTTCTAATTCCGTTTTTCTAAATGCTAAATTTTTATTCACACGTAAACTGAACTAGCAATTCTTTCTTTCTTACAAGGAATTACTATGGTAGAATATCTGTGCCCTGAAATATACTGTGATATCTTTTTATAAATTTTTTAAATGATGGCTTGGATTATGTGAGGAATATTGGATCTAATCTCTTTAAATTAACCTTTTTTTTTTGTAAGCTACAGGATGGTTTATTAAGGATGATATAAAAAAGTAAGAATTTCCTTAAACATCAAGCTAAATGAAAGTAGTCAATCCAGTGCACCATCATAAAAGACGCTGGATCTATTTATCTCCAGTGTTCTCTTTTCCTTTCATCTTCATGATTGAAAATGTCTACTAAACCTTTAATGGGATAAATTTGATCTAAGTGAGAAGAACAACAAAAAGCAAGCTAAGGAGTTATGTATAAAAATGTTTATGTCCTATGATTTTATACCCTTAAAACAATTCTGAATTTTGACTTCTGTAGATACAGCTAAATAAAACCACCCCTCCCACCCTAATGAGAAAAAGCTAATAATCTACAAACTTATAATTTCTATGACTTCTCTTGATGTTAAATATATTTTAATATACTTATTATAAATAAGATTTTTGTTAAATGAATAAAAAATAATCTAACTCTAGACATGTAGAAGAATGTTTTACTAAGTATGAGTTTTTGTGACAGGGTAGACATGTACCCTGGTGGAAGTCTCTGATTATTTTTTAAATAATTTGCAATTTACATTCTCTTCCATTTTCAAAAGATAGATTTAGAGTAATTATGTGGTGATTTTCTCATTTATGTGTAAAGGTACTGAAGTGCAATTCAATCAAAATCATAGATAAAAATGCTGAATGAATTATAATGTTTTATATATTGATAACATTTGACAAAACAAAATGAAACCTGAGATGAGGGGGGTAGTGTCAGCTAATAGACAAAGAGTCTGGGCTTGCATTTTTTTCCTACCACTTACTAATTACACTGACTTTAGTAAGTTGTTTACATTTTCTAAAGTTTAGTTTCCTAATTTAACTGAAAATCACACAGTGTTGAGGGATTCGTAAATACATTTATTTATTTAAAATATTATGGAGCATCATCTATATGCCATTTAATGTTAAAATATGAGGCAGATGTCAAAGAAATACCTAGAATATGGGCATTGAATGAAGAGTAATTTTTAAGTAATAAAACTTCATCCAAATTTATTTTTAGAAAAAACCAACTATTTTTAATCTGAATTATCATGTGCACTGAAAAAATCTATATACCTGCACTTCTCGAAATTGTACAAAATTGATGCTAGTGGAAATCATAATTCATTTTACTAACTGAAATCTCAGGTTTCTTATGTGTATATTCAACAGTAAGTTGTAAAATGTTTTGAGTCTGTATTTAAAAAATAAAATATAGAATGCATAATGTAGGTAAAATAAAAGGCATACAGTTCCTATAATAAACTGCACAGCTCAAATGTAATTACCTTATTGATATCATGATAAATTTAGTTTAGAGAGTTCAAATAAACATCTGTTACCTCCACTCACAAATGTGTTCAAGCATTCATGCTGCAAATGCTTCTCATATTTTTAAGTGAGAATAATTTATACTTCATTTATAGTCTTTCAGTATGCTTGAATGTGACACTGAGAGAAAGGTTTATTAATAAACTGTGGTTTATGGGAAAATCACTTAAACGTGATAAAGGACAATTATAATAACAAAGACTTTTAGTTTAATTGTAGCAATCTAGTTTCACCTAAATTAGTCCACAAACCTACAATGCGATAAACTTAAGGTGATGTTTTACATGAATATATCCACAACCAAGATAATATAAATTTTCCAAAAGTGCATCCATCTTTTTGGGGGGTGGTGGGAGAAAGACAGAAGTTGGGAAAATGGTAACTGCTGAATGAAGGTAGGAGAAAGCTGCAAAATAGTGCATTCATGGAGAAAGATATGACGAAAAAGGAGTTGTTGTTTCAGCATATTGGAGAGGCTCGTATCACTGAGTTTGTAGATGGGCAGAGGGTAAGCATTAGATGTGGGACTGAAAGATACTCATGAGTTAAAATATATCTAGACAGGATTTAGCTATATTCCCAACCCCTTTCTCCATATAGAAATCTCTGCAGATAGGGCTGGGCGCGGTGGCTCACGCCTGTAATCCCAGCATATTGGGAGGCCGAGGTGCGCGGATTATGAGGTCAGGAAATCGAGACTATCCTGGCTAACACAGTGAAACCCCGTCTCTACTAAAAATACCAAAACAATTAGCCGGGCGTGGTGGCGGGCCCCTGTGGTCCCAGCTACTTCAGAAGGCTGAGGCAGGAGAATGGTTTTAACCCGGGAGGCGGAGCTTGCAGTGAGCCGAGATCGCACCACTGCACTCCAGCCTGGGCGACAGTGCGAGACTCCGTCTCAAAAAAAAAGAGAGAAATCTCTGCAGATAGGAACATAGGAATAAAAGTTTGATTCACTAAAGAAATGATCATGATCAAATGTTCCAACGGGCTTGTATTTAGGTATTTTCCAGAGTAAAGGCACAGAGCACTGAGGCACCATTTTGTTTCTGTTGTTGTTATAACTCTTAAAATCAATTTTAAACCAACAGTATCTAAATTCATGATATAATAGATATCACAATACAGTAATATAAATATTGATTCTAAAGGAAAGAAATAAAATCCTAGGAATATGCTTAAAAGTGCAGAGAGACAATTATGTGTATTTGTGCATATAACAAAGCTCTACTGATGTTCCAAAGAGATTCAACAAAGAGTACACCCATGAAAAAAGTCTCTACTTGATATGACAAAGTAACATGTAGAAATAACTGCAACGAAGATAGCATTTAATTAATAAGCCTGACATAAGGAGAGAGAACTTGTAAATAGCAAAGGCAAATGAAACCATAAATTAAAAAATTAAAAAGAAATGTAAAATGGGGGGATAGAATACATAGGAGAAAGAAATGTCTATATATTAAGGGCACGTGTTTACATACTGATAGAGCTCACTACACTCAAAATTAAAACACTAAAGACTCAGCCCTAGAAAAATTATCCTGAAAGTACAGAGCACTAGGGATAAAGAAAAAATTTTAAAGTTTTCTAAACATAACAAAAAGGTAAAAGAGGAAGGAATATCATGTTCTCAAATGGCTCTTGAGCAACATGAGATAATGTAATAAGTTCACTTCAAATTTATAAGGCAAAAATAATTTCATTTAATATTGTATCCTACATTCAGGCCATCAACACTTAATCAAGTTTGTTGCCATATTATTTTCAAATATGTCCACATTCACCACCTGAGGATATTCTATGAGGATCGTGTGTGTGTGTCGGGGGTGGGGTGTGTACAGAAAAAAATCCACAAAGGAAGAAAAGAAAAATGTAGGAATACATGCAATTCAGGGCAGTAGATTCCAGACAGGAAAATAAGAAATGAATTTCCACAGTAATATGCACAATATCCTTGAACAGTCAGTAGAGGTTGTTCCACATTCATCTTAATATAATTTTTTAGATCATTTAAATTAGTCTTTTGAAAGATATATCAAAATAAATGGATAGTACAAGAGTTTGTATATGGAGTCATTAGAAATGATATATACTTATATAGATGTCTTAATATCATCTTATACAAAAGAAAAGTAACAAAGTCTAAATATAATTATTCAATTGTCTTAACTTTATAGTTATTTTATAATTTTATAATTTTTAAGTCTCTTAAAAATTTGTTTTCTTTGTACTAAAAAACTAACTCATTTAAACATTTTTTTTCTATTCATTTCCTCTTCTGTCAAATTGAAGTTGCTTCTTTTTCTTTTTTCTTTTTTTTTTTTTGAGACAGGGTCTCCCTCTGTCACCCAGGCTGGAGTGCAACAGCACAATCACAGCTCACTGCAGCCTTGACCTTCCAGGTTCAAGCAATCCTCTCACCTCAGCTTCCTGAGCAGCATACATCACAGCTAATTTTTAAATTTTCTGTAGAGATGAAATCTCCCTGTGTTGCCCAAGCTGGTTTTGAACTCCTGGGCTCAAGTGATCCTGCCACTCAGCCTCCCCAAGTTCTTGGATTATAGGCTTAGCCACCACAACTGACCTGAAGTTACATTTAATAATGTCTATATACTTTTATTCGGCAGTTTGGTGCCCCCAGTTATGTAAAACTAAATAGCACATTACTCTTGAACCCCAAACTGTAAAAACTAACCATAGTTACAACCAACTAAACAGTAACAAAAAAAACAACCAAAAAAAATTTGGCAGATTGTGGAAATTAGGCAAAACTAACAGAGATGACCTACAGGGTGGTGAATGTCTTGGATTTTTTTTATTTTGTTGTATTTTGAGACTTTTCTGACATAACACAATGTTACACCTTAAAGAACTGGAAGAAGTAAACCATAGTCAAAAAAAAAAATAGAAAGAATGAAATCAGCAAGATATTAAAAACAAAACAAATACCAGGCAGATAATATTCAACAGTAATAAAACAAAAGGATGACACGATCAAAAACATAGGCAGATTTTCTACAGCTAGACTGATCCTGGGGGGAAAAAAGAGAGAGAGAACACAAAACATCACATCAAGAATTGAATAACACAGACCCTATTGCCATTTATAGGATAATAAGACAGTATGACAAATGGCATTCTGTGATAATAGTCTTAATGACCAGAACAAAAAATTGACAAGAAAGGGAAAAATACTGAAAGCTTTATATCTATCATCAAATAGAATGTGTTAAAAAATCATTTCATGAAGTAACTTTCAAGCAAACACGAATTTAATAAGGAAATCTATCAAACATTAAAAAAGTTATACCATCAAAGTTATACAAACTTTTTCAGATATTGGAATAATAGAAATCACATCCACCTAAACTATTCTATGAGATTGATAGTGACAGGAGAGAGACAAATTCCTAGACAGATAGGGATGGGTCCCTGGTGAAACTTGACCTTTAAGCCAAGGACAATCTAAAGCCTGAAAAACGAGTTACCAGCTCCGGATAGAATCCACAGACTTCAGTGGGTATTTCCATTCCCATTTTGCCCACTGTCTCTCTATTGGTTCTTTCTGAATGATGCCTTGTAACTAATGGAATGGTGCCTTTTCCAAGACTATATTGCATATGCATACTTTCTCCCAATTGGTTTTTTCCACAAGCCAATCGAAGGGTTCCTTTTCCAAGCCTACCCATAGACCAATCACACATTTCCCCATTCTAAGCACATAAAAACCCCAGACTCAGCCTCACAGCCGGCTACCCACTTTTGGGTCCCCTCTTTCTGTCAAGAGCTTTTCTTTTGCTCAATAAATTCTACTCCACCTTATCCCCTCTCTGGTGTCTGTGTATCTTATTCCTATTGGTCGTGAGATAAGGACCTGGAATCTGCTGAACTGTAGGAGTAAAAGAGCTGTGACCCTCCTACCGCCAAACTATGGGAGTGAAAAAGCTGCAACAAGATCATAGAACTTGTACACAATAATAAAAAAGATAAACATTAATACCCCTCATTAATATAAACATTTTTTATTTTTTCATTTTTTAAATTAATTTTTATGGGTACATAGTAGGATAGGAGGTCTACTTATTTATGAGATACATGAGATACTTTTATATAGGCATACAGTGTGTAATAACTACATCAAGATGCATGGGGTATCCATAACCTCAGGCATTTATCCTTTCTTTGTGTCACAAATATTCAAATTATTCTCTTTTATTTTTAAATATACAATAAATTACTGTTAACTGCAGTCACCCTGTTGTGTTCTCAGATACTAGGTCTTACTCATTCTAGCTAACTATGTTTTAGTACCCATTAACCATCCCCACTTTTCCCCACCCACCAGCCCTACCACCCTTCCCAAGCTCTGGTAACCATCATTCTACTCTCTATCTCCATAAGTCCAGTTGTTTTAATATTTTAGCTTCCACAAATGAGTGAGAACATGTGAAGTTTATCTTTCTATGCCTGGCTTATTTCATTTAACATAATGCCCACCAGCTTCATCTATGTTGTTGCAAATGACAGGATCTCATTCGTTTTATGGCCAAATATTACTCCATTGTGTATATGTACCACATTTAAAAAAATTTGTTCACCTGTTGGTGGACACTTAAGTTGCTTCCACATCTTGGCTATTGTGAATAGTGCTTCGATAAACGTGGGAGTGGAGACAGCTCTGTGTTATACTGATTTCCTTTATTTTGGGTATATACCTTACAGTAGGATTGCTGGATCATATGGTAACTCTACTTTTAGTTTGTGAAGAACCTCCATACTGTTATCCACAGTGGCTGTACTAATTTACATTCCAAGTATAGTGTAGGAGGGTTCCCTTTCTCCACATCCTCACCAGCATTTGTGATTGCTGTGTTTTGGATAAAAGCCATTTTAACTGGGGCGAGATGCTATCTAATAGTTTTGATTTGCATTGCCTTGATGATCAATGATGTGGAGTACTTTTTAATATAATTATTTGCTATTTGTATGTCTTGTTTTGAGAAATGTCTATTCAGATCTTTAGCCCATTTTTAGTCTGATTATTAGATTTTTTTCCTATAGAGTTGTTTGAGCTCCTTATACATTCTGGTTATTAATCTCTTATCAGACAGGTAGTTTGCAAATATTTGTTCCCCTTCTGTGGGTTGTTCCTTCACTTTGTTGATTGTTTCCTTTTGCTGTGCAGAAGCTTTTTAACTTGATGTAATTCCACTTGTCCATTTTTGCTGTGATTGCCTGTGCTTTTGGGGTATTACTCAATAAACTTTTGCCAAGACCAATGTCCTGGAGACTTTTCCCAATGTTCTACTTTAGCAGTTTTATTCTTAGAAGTCTTAAATTTAGTCTTAATCCATTTTAAACATTATTCTTTATAAGACATTATCAAATTAATTCTGACAATACATAAAATGAATAAGATATTATGACCAAAAAGAGTTTACCCTGGGAATGCAAAGTGTTTGGCGTTCAAAAAAATATAATTCACTTTATAAAGTAAATATAATAGGAATACCATAGACCATTTTAATATATACAAAAAATTCATTCCAAAAATTTAAAAGCTTTTCATATTTTTAAGAAAAAGGTCCACAAATAGGAATAATAGAAATCTTCCTCAAATTTATAAAAGGTGTCTATAAAAAATTTACAGTCAGTATCATATTTAACAGTGAAAGATTGAATGGTTTTGTGAGGACCATCTCAGAGTTCTAGTGTTGATATGCAGATTATTTTAAGCTGAAGACATTTGAGATTCTGTGAATTCAGAGAGGACTTCTCTGAGCTTCCTTTATCTGACTAATAGCAGGAACTTCTAGGAAATGAGACTACCATAAACCCCTTCTCCAGAGGAGTTTCATGGCCAAAAAGCTGACCTAAAGCCCTTGAGTACCTGAATAAGCAAACGTTACCAGGAGCTTTCTTATCTTCTATTTGTCCTCCTTAAAAGCAAACAAAAAACAACAAAAAGTTTTCTGCATAAAGAAACCTGTTTGTTCTTCACATAATAGCCCCTTTTCTCTACCTGTCTTTTCTCTACTGGGGTAGGTATATAAGCCTCTAACTTTAACCATTTAATGAACTCTGCCTATTCTTTTGCTAGCTTTTTTTTTCCTTTTGTTCCTACAAATATTTTTTTCTCTCTCTCTCCTGTTAATTTGCTTTTTTGCAGTTTAATTCATGGGCCCCCCAGGGAAAGAAATTAAGGTTAGGGAAAAGTCATCGCCTCAAAACAGTTTCCTCCTGAGATTTTAAATAAGGCAAACATGCTCATCTTTACCATTTCTTTGCATTGATGTACTAGAGGTTCTAGCTATTACAATAAGACAACAACTACAAAAAAAATAGTAAAAGTCATAAACATGGGAAAGGAACTAGTGAAACTGTCCATATTTGTACTTTGCATAATTTTTTATTTAGAATATCCAAAAGATTTAATGATAACAAGAAATAATAAAGGAATTTAGTGAGAAAGCAGAAAAAAGGTTAGTATCAAACAAATAATATTTTTATATACTTTATAAAAATTTTGAAAATATTCAGTAATTATAAATAATTACAAGTAGAGTGGTGTGAAAGAACTTTAAATATCTATGAATAGTAGAAGATGTCTGCAATTCTACAGCAAAAACTATAGCACATTATTGATAGTAAAGTTCTAAATAAATGCAGCAAGATGCCTTGTTAACAAATCAGGAGACTCAACACTCTTTAGATGGCAATCTTTCTCAAATTGATATACAGATAAAACAGAATTCTAATACAAATGTTGAGAGGCTGATTTGTATACCTTACAAGAAAATTCTAAATTTAAAGGCAAATATAAAGAAGCTAGAAAATGACAGATATTATAAAATAACAAATTTAGATAATTTTTCTTATATGAGTTCACTATTTCCTATGGAGCTACATTAATCAATACAGTTTATTAACAATGAAAGGTAGACATATAGAAAAATTGGACAAAATAAATTGTCCAGAAGTAAATCCACATACAGCTATAAAACCACTTCAACGGAGAAAGAAAAGTCTGTGTAGCAAATGGTGTTAACAGAATCTCCATAGAGGAATAAAAGAACATCAAATCTGATATCATACCATGCTCAAAAAGTAACCTAAAATTAACCATAGACATAACTATCAAATCTATAAATAGAAACTTCTAAAAGAAGATATGAATGAGATACAATATTTCTCAACTTCAGATAAGTAAATATTCCTTAGATTAATAACACAAAAGCACAAGCCATAGAACAAAATTATCACAAAGCATACTATATGAAAGTAAAAACTTCTGCTCTTCAAATGTTTCCAGAAAACACAAAAAGATACTCGCCATCAACATACACAGACTCGGATAAAATATTTATTACATGTGTAATAGACAAAGGAATTATACTGAGAATATATACATGCCTCTTAAAAAGCTACAGTTAAAACAGAAATAGCCCAATTATATATGGACAAACATTTCTTTCACAAGGAAAGCTACCTATATATATATATATAACACATATATATAATATATATTATATATAATACATATAATATATTATATATAATATATATTATATATAATATATATTATATAATATAAATAATATATATATTTTATTTATATATTATATATAAAATATATAATATAATATATAATATATAATAACTCTCTCCAATCACCTGAGAAAATGCTTACCTAAAGTTAATAATGGATAACTTTGGATTGTGAAGTTTTGTGTTGTATTTTGCTGTTATTTTTTTTGTTTCATATATTGCTTTACTTTCGTAATGGTTGTGTTTCATTTGTATTTCTGAAGTATTAAAAATCAATTAACGTATTAACAAGGTATCCATAATCAGAGATAAGAGAGATGGTGGAAATTATTCCCTGAGCAAATCAAGGACCTCATATAATACAAAAACAAAGGCATCCTTGATTTATTTAGAAGGTCTTCACTTTGTATTTACAGCACCAAGCGTAGTGCACATGTGTTATAGGTATTCACATACAAAACATATGTAGTCTATTTTAGGGTATATTAATGCTATTTACTCATAAGCTATTAAAATATAAGATAAAATAATTAACTAACATTGTCTATTTATTTTATGTACTTTGTATTGCACTTGGTGCTGTTTGATTTAATCCCCAGAACAAACATTTGTTTGTACTTTTGGGATGATTCCTGGACAGCTAATGAAGAACAAAATGCAGCAAATTTGAACGCTCATGGCATTTACTTTTTATAGAAAAACTGGTAAGATAGCTCTCGTTACACCTATTTTACTCATCAAGAAACTGTATTCCACAATTGGTTTGGACACTTCAGCAACTCACATATCAGCAGAGGTATATTTCCTTTTGAGCTTCAAATAAAATTTCCTGTAACCTTATGCCATGTTCAATAAGTGAGAGGCAGGTATAAGGTTTGCAAATTTAAATCTGGCTATGAGCTGCTGTTTCTGATGCATTAGTTAGTGAAATGCTCACTCTATCATCTTTTGATTTCTCTACAGATTCCAGATAATAATGAACTCAAATAACACAGATATGGTTGTCAGCTCTTTTCTTTAATTTCCATAAAAGAACAAATAAAAAACAGTTACAATGAAAAACAACCACCACCACAAGAAAACAGCCAAAGAAATGAAAGCAGCATGAATTAAATAAGAAAACATTAATGTTAAATAAAATTTAGTTGTTTCTGACAGTGCAAGCTCTCTTCTCTACTTTTATTCTTGTTTGCTCTAGACTTCATGCTCATGGACATGTCCATTGCATGACGGTTGAATATGTATTTGTTGTGTCCTGCTAAGCTCTTCTAGGGCCTTAACTTGCATCTAGAGTAGTCATGTTCATAAACAGCTTTTCATACAAATTATAAGTTGACAAGCAAACATATGCTTGCATAAAATCAATATCCGGTAAGTGGTGAATGAAGCCAGTATTCACATGTCTCCAAAGAGCAGACTTTTCACTGTACCTGCTGCCTCATATCTGTTAATAATAGCAAAAAAAAAGTATAGAGTAATCACATGAAGATTACCTTTTCAGACCATACCACGTCGCATGAGCAAAGTAGCATGTAAGCATCCTGCTTGTGAAAATAGTTAAATGTATTTATTGATCACTATGGACCAAGAAATATGATTAGAGTGTATCTCTGTTTCCTGATCCCTTTAAAATAGCCATAAGAAGACACACATATTCCTATCATTAGGTACCATTGGTGTAGGATAAGTCCACAGTGACAGATCTAGTAAGTTATGGTGGCATTATCTCAAGCAAGTCTGTCTTATTCCAGAGCTTACTGTGTTAACTACTATTCTACACTATTGGCATATTATTCAAAAATTATGTGAGCATTGCAGATTCTGCAGAGGCAGATAATGGGGTGCTTAGAAATCAAATAACTTTTGCAGAGTGACAAAACTGGTAATGATGGAATTTCTAAACCTAACCTTTTTCTGTGGCTCCAAACTCTTGCTCATTTCACATCACTATGCTACTGCTCTAATCAATGCCATTTCTGCTTTTAGAAGCCAAGATTCATCACATCTATAAGTTCTAATTAAATCTAGTCAGCCTACTTTTTCTGGATGGGGCTATTGTAGTGTGAAGCCAAAAATTTCAGTGATCTGTAAATGACATTAACTAAGGCTCACATTGTAGTCCAAGTGTGGTGTTTAAAATTTGTCTTCTTAATACATGTGGCCTTTCAACAAGCTTATTTTTTTGAGACATAATATGTAATGTTTTAGAGTTTAATACCATTAGTAATAGGTTTCTGTTTTCAGGTTGATTCATTATCATACAATAAAATACTGTTAGTTGTCTTAAATGTTACACTATTTATTATTGAACTTGCATTGAGTTGATTTAATATAGGTGCCAGGCAGAATGCTCTCAGTATGAATTGGCTTATGAAAAAAAATTATATATTACATATATACACACATGTTACTATGTAGACCTCAAAATTTATTTTTAATTGTCAAACATTAATTTGTTGAATTATTTATCTTCTGAAATAGATGATTATTAAAATAAGCTGTTATAAATCTTACAAAAATAATTTTATAAAGCTTCAAAATCCCTAACGTTACAAATAATTTTTTCTACCAAAGCATAATTAACAAAATATCATCCAAATTGAAAACCATATAGAAGAATATAAGCCATTTTCGTAATTTTATATTATTTTGAACTAAACAATGGTTTACAGTACATATTAGCTATCAATATGTATTTGTAAATCTATCCTCAAAGATATAATCAGATTAGGGTAATTGTTGTGAAAGCCATATATTTAAAAACATACTTTATTAAATATGAGAGCTCTTATCCAAAGAGAAGAATAAGTATTTCAGCTCTCTCCAAAAGAAAAACAATATTAGAGTATTTTTAAAGTTGTAAAAACTCAATATGTTATTCTGTTATTTAATTGAACAATGAAAACAGTTTAAAATAGATAATATAACCATTCATAAGCCTTTTTTCCCCCAATTTTACTTTTTATAATTATTTATTTGACACATAATCATTGTACATATTAATAGGGTATAGTGTGATGTTTCAGTACATGTGTACATTGCATATTGATCAAATTATGATAATCAGTTTGTTTACCATCTCAAACACTTGTAATGTCTTTGTAGTTGGAATGAAATACATCTTTTTTTTTTTTTTAGAACAACTCAGCAAAATAAAATTCCTGTTTATTGTTGGACAACATTGTTTCACACATACATCAAACAGGCCAAAAAAAATAAACAGCAACTTCATAGACAAAAAAGGAAAAAAAATAAACCTTTTATCTTTGGCCTTTTTAACCATCTCATACAAACCAACTCCTTATAGTACAGCTAAGTACATACACAAAAAAGTTACTGGAATGCTCAGAATAAGATTGTTTTTCTGTTGTCATTTTTGCTTTTTTTACAAGGTTTTTTTCTCCTTTGAGATTATAATGAACATGGTCACACCACAAGTAAAGTCAGAAGTAGGACAGAACGCTCCCAAGGCTGGTTTGGTCATCCGAGATCATTAAAAATGGCTGACCCTAACAATATGTATAAAAATATAAAATGTAAATAAAAAATACAAACAAATTTCCTTTTTAAAGTACTTTTAAGAAAAAAAGCATGGCCTTGGAAGTTTTGGTTCTTTTTTCCTCCCCTGTTGCAAATTCTCATGGTTTGGGTTGGGTGGTGGAGAGCGCGTATCATCTGTGGGTGGCACTGCCCACGGTGGGCAGGCGGGCCTCTCTACTTGAAGGTGACCACGTTTAGATTCTGAGACGGGAAGTGGAGGGTGAATAGGTCACGGCGGCCTTTTTTTTTAGTTTAACTTTTCCTTTTTTGCTGTCTAGTCATCCTCGTCGGTCTTCTGCTTCTTGGTATCGACATCGTCATCCTCATCATCTTCAGCTGCCCGCTTGCCCGTAGGTGACTCAGCTTCCTCATCTTCATCTCCATCCTCTTCCTCACCATCACCTTCTTCTTCCTCCTCCTCTTCCTCCCCACCTTCTTCCTCTTCTTCATCTACTTCACTGTCAGCTTCCTGCTCCCCATTTTCCTCATTAGCATTCCCGTTAGCAGGGGCGTCTCTTCCATTTTCTGCCTCTTCCACAACTTCCTTCTTCTCCTTTAAGTCCTTGATGGTGATTTCGGAGCTGGCGTCTACGGCTGCGTCTGACATGGTGGGGCACGCCGGTGATCCGATGCAGGGGATTAAAAAGAAAGCGAGAGTTCAGGGACTCTGGCGATAAAGCTGCCGCAGTCCGCGGCGGCGGAGGAGGCGCGCGGCGGAGGCGGCTGCGGCGAGCAAGGAGGAACAATGCAAAGATGGCTTTTCAGAGCAGCCAGTGGGGCGGAATGAAATATATCTTAAAATGGTTGTCTACAATTAATGTGGCATCTTTTCATTTTCTCCAAAAGCCATTATTGAAGCATTTTTCCCAAAATTAATGAGTAATAATATAAAGATAGAATACAATCTACTTATTTCATTAATTTGAGAATCAAGTATGAAAGACAGAAAATTTGGGAAGTTACAAATGAGATCTTCATTATTGTGTATTTGTTTTAAAAGAATAAAACAAACTAAATACAAGCATCTTCTCCAGTTACTTTAAATATTATGGTAGTCTTATAGGAAAGCTGATACATTTATTTTCCTGAAACACATTTTTTTCATACTGAAAATAGGAGAGGGTTACCAGTCCATTTTCCACAAAAAATACAATATACTTTAAGATAAACTATTCTTTTTTGAGAATAAGCATAAACATAAAATGAAACAAAAAATATGACTCAAAAGGTATTTTTTTCTAATTTTGACAAACTTAAAATATATATGTATTAAAAGACAGGAAGGTTTGGCATATGCTAATTTATAGGGTTAGAGGCTGGCAGAACTGGAATAATGGCAAAGCTCATATTCAAACTCAAGATCTCCCTGAACAGGGCAATTACCAGGAGGTCATTGGGTTATAAAAATGCACTTGTGATGAACTGGTCTCTGGAAGGGGTTTGGCTGGAAAATGGCATGAGAAAACTCGTTAAGGTGAAGAAAATAGTCAATCCTCACCTAACTTTGTCAATAGGTCCTTGAAAACCACCACTTTACATGAAATTTTGCATAACAAAATTTGTATAGGCCAATGAATATAAATAAGAGTTAAGTTCCTGTGGCATATTTCTGGTGAGAAAAACATCACCAAACTTCCAAATAAAAACACAAAACACTTTTAATATTAAATATTGAAATAAATGTGAACTCTACCTATATTTATATTTACAAAATATTAATAAATCAAGTAAGATTATTATTCACCCAGTAATTTCAGTTCTGGGTCAAGCCTATCCCAGCAGCTCAGAGGTGAGGAAGCAACCCTAGACAAAACACTGTTCCATGGCAAGGCATACTCACTCACACACCCACACTCACTCAGACTGGGACAATGTAGACACGGGAACGAACTCAATGTGCGCAGCTTTGGGATGTTGGGGGAAATTGAAGTGCCCTGAGAAAACCCACGCTGACATGAGGAAAACATGCAAACTCCACACAGAGAGTGGCGCTGCCGGGAGTCAATTTTTTTTTCTCATCAACATTATACTGAAATGAAGTTGAATGAAATAATGTTATTCAAGAACCTGCTCCAGAAGGTATCTCTTTTGACTGGTCATGCCATATATGAATAGAATCATTAACGCTCAATGAAAAACAATAATCTATAGTACATTGAAAAATAACTAAAAGAGTATAATTATAATGTTCATAACACACACAAAAACACTGTGTGCGGTAATGGATACCCCATTTACTCTGATGTGATTATTACATATTGTATGCCTTTATCAAAATATGTACCCCATAAATATGTACACAGACTAGGTACCCATAAAAATTAAAATTAAAAAACAACTCAATGGGCCGGGTACTGTGGCTCACGCCTGTAATCCCAGCACTTTGGGAGGCTGAGGCGGGAGGATCATGAGGTCAAGAGATTGAGACCATCCTGGCTAATACGGTGAAACCCCGTCTCTACTAAAAAATACAAAAAAATTAGTCAGGCGTCTTGGCGGGAGCCTGTAGTTCCAGCTACTTGGGAGGCTGAGGCAGGAGAATGGCGTGAACCTGGGAGGCAGAGCTTGCAGTGAGCCAAGATAGTGCCACTGCACTCCAGCCTTGGCGACAGAGCGAGACTCCCTCTAAAAAAAAAAAAAAAAAAAAAACTCAATGAACTGAACATTTTAAAAAGACAAAAGTAGTCATCTTAAAATAAGATACATTGCAGGAAGCATAAAATAGAATTTTGTTACTGCAAGCAAGAAAAACTGGCTCTAGCTTACTTAAAAGACTTAAAAGAAAATGCATTAGAATAAAATTTGAGGAAGCTCTAGCCAGAACAATCAGGCAAGAGAAAGAAATAAAGGGCATCCAAGCTGGAAGAGAGGAAGTCAAACTATCTCTGTTTTCTGATGATAGGATTGTATACCTAGGAAACCTTAAAGACACCTCCCAAAACTCCAAGATTTGATAAATGAATTCAGTAAAGTCTCAAGTTATCAAATCAATTTACACAAATTAGTAGCACTGCTATATACTATTTCTTTTTTAAACTTACTAAAATGTATATGGCAAATATTTAGTTTTCAATTACATTGGGTAGAATTTACAACTTTCATAAATTATGCTACAATTCAATATTTTGCATAGTAGTGGTCCGAAAGACCAATAAATCTAGTAACTGTCATGAAGAATTTGCTAATTTTAAAATATGGAAATATGTGAAAACTTTGAAAATCTAAACTACGATGCGTAGGCCAGTTTCTCATAGATTTAGATTTTACCATTTTAAAAAAATATACAAATCATCAGTATAATACAATTCAAAAATTATCTGGTTCTACAGGTTAGCTCATGCTATATTGAAAGAATTACATTAAATTCTTGATAAAATAACATTCTGCTTGATTATAATTTTTTACTTGATAGATTTGTAGTGGCTTTAATTCTTATTCCATGATTTATTTTATTTTAAATTAATATAATGATTATCAATTTTATAAATTGCTTCTGACAGTGAAAATAATCATGTGACTTTCAGAATGAGGTCAACTCCTCTCAGTAACATTGCAATATATCACAATGATTCAGGTTTCTCTATTATACACAAATGTAAAGGACAAGATGACTTTGTAACCCTGATTGTCTGGGAACACTGCCAAAAACCGGATTTTGTGCTACACTGATGTAATGGAGAGAGATTCACTCTTGAATTGTATTATGTTCTATTGGATTAAAAAAAAAAAGTCACAAAACATTTACCGTAATGTTGACTGGTCATTAAGTAGAAAATCCTGATTATAATGTAAGGGCAAAATTAAAATGGCATATATAATATATCACATATTGTAATAGCATTATTAAAATGAACAGATATTATAATAGCTATATTAGGGATAATACAAATTATAATAAATGCATTATTAATAATTCACATTTATATTGTTTTTACTGTATACTATGCACTCTTCTGGGCACTAGAGCTAGAAAATCAACAGAACAAACAACAGCAGATGTCACTTTCTAAGGGAATTTATCACTTGTTTGGGGGAAGGCATACAACAAACCCTTAATCAAAAATAACAGATAATGATCAGTGCTATGATGAAAACTAGATACCACATTATGCGAGTGAGTGGGATGTTTTACTTAAAACATACCCAGAGAAGGTGATATTATAGATTGAACTGTGCTTTCCAAAAAGGTGTATGGAAGCGCCAAACCTTGTACTTGTCAATGTAACCTTATTTCAAAAGAAGGTCTTTGGAGATGTAAGACAATTAAGAGGAGGTCACTAGAATGGGCCCTAATCTAATGTGATTGTTGTTCTTAAAAAAAGAGAAACATGTAGGCACAGAGACAGAAGGGAGAGCACTGCGTGAATAGAGAGGCAGAGATTAGAATGCTACATCTACAAACCAAGGCATGCCAAAGCTTTCTGAATCCAAGGCTAGGAGCAAGGCGTGGGGTAGATTGTTTTTCAGAGCCCTCAACAGGAATGAACACTGCCAGTACCTTGATTTTGAACTTCTAGTCTCCAGAACTGTGAGATATAAATTGTTATTTTAATCAACCTAGTTTGTGGTACTCTGTTAGGAAACTGATATGGATGATATTTAATTTCAGAACTAATTTATAACAAAAGTCAACTCTGTGAAGAATTCGGGAAGATGATTCTGAGTAGAAGAGTCAGATACTGCAAAGACTTAAGGCAGCAGCAATATATCTTAGGCACAAGACATATAAAGAAGGTGGCTGTGTGTGTAGTGTGAAGATAATTCAGTAGGGAGATAGTTGTAGCCAAGTGTGAAAAAATAAAATAAATCTTGAGATCCCCAAATCACTACGCCAAGGGAAAAGTCAAGCTGGGAACAACTTCAGGGAAACCTGGCTCCCATTTTATTCCTAAATAAGATCGCTACAAAGATTAAAAAAAAAAAAAAAGCTACAAACCTCCCTCGCAATTTGCCCCCAAGATAATTCCTTGTGGGCCTCAAGATCTTTACCCAAAAAGAGTTCAGTTAAATTTCACTGGCAATATAAACTGATGGCTTATCCTCACAGGTCCTGGATAGAAAGTCATCCCTCTGCTCACCTGAGACAAATGCATATGATAGTGCTTCCTCTGCCCTACTGTTTATGTGAAAATGCAGTTTTACTGAGCCAGGTTAAATTGTGTATTCAGTGAAAGGCTGATCAAGGACCGCAAAGAATGCAGCCTTTTATATTTTGTCTACATATGATCTGGAAGCCCTTGCTTCTAGTTGTGCCACCTTTCCAGACCAAACCAATGTACATCTTACAATACATTGATTGATGTCTCATGCCTCCCTAAAATGTACCCTGGCCACCTTGGGCTCATGTTCTCAGGACCTCCTGCAGCTGTGTCATCCGCATGCCCTAAACGTTAGCAAAATAAACTTTCAACATTGATTGAGACCTGTCTCAGATATTTTGAATTCATAAAAGTGATACTGAATAGGCAGGGGAGACAATTAACCCTGTTGTTCAATTAAGGAGCTCACATATTATTATAAGTAAATTGGAAAACTTATTTGAAGACTTTAATAATAACAGAATGTTGTTAAAAAAGAATTCTATTTCAAAAAGAACACTCTGAAGAATGGATAGTGGAAAGAGGGAGGTGGACAAGAGCAGAGCCCGCAGAGCAGTTCAGCATGTACTGCAGTGACTGGTGTCCTGAACCATAAATACCTGCAACTTTTATGCAGTTGATCAGCACTGGAGATGGTGAAGAGTAAAAGATTTGTGATATATTGACCAGAATTACTGGGAGGAGTATGTGTGTAGTGAAAATGATTAGAAATAAAAAATAACTTAGGTGTTTTGGGCTTGAGATGCTGGGTAGTTTGTTGATATCATTTCCTGACATCAGAAACATTCTGAAAGTGTCAGGGGCCACAAGTTCACTTTGGACATTCCAGGAAAGAAAAGTCTATTAGCTATGAAATTAAAATGTTAAATTTACAGGTTTGAAATATTACAAATTTAGAATTCGGGGTGACCTTGTGTGTGATGGAATGTATTTTGGAGTAATCAACATAAAGTTGATACTTAAAGCTCCAGACCTAGATATATAAGATGCCCATCATTAGAGGAATATGTGTTCTTATGAATTACTCTGTAAGGTCTACAATACTCAAAACTGGTTAGATGTGGAGCACACAGAGTATATTGATCAATAATGACCTTGAAATAGATGAAAATTCCAGATTTGATTCAGAAATCAAAAGCAGAAAACCAAATCAGCACTCAGGAACAGATTCCTGCAGACACACAGGTCTAGCATACAAAGAATGGGTTATTTTGCCATTCTTTGAGAAAGGAATGAGTTACCTACTGAAATGAACTAAAGGTGATTCCAAGCAGACAAAAGAACATGTCCAAATTTCTGAGGGCAAAGGAGCACACAATACATTAAAACAAATAGAAAAGAAATCCTTTCAGTATGATTCAAGGTAAGTAATAAAAAATGAGACCAGGGATGAAATCAAACAGCAGGTCAATTGTTCTTAGTAAAACCCATATCAAGCATGTTGGACTTTACCCTTACTGGCATGGGATGCCTTTGAATATTTTAGACCAGAAGAATGCCTATGTTACATTAAATCATCATTCCACCTGTGGTGTGAAGAATAGATTTGAGAGCAGTATTAATAAGCCCCTAATATGCTGTATTCATGTTTCTTTAATAACTGCCCCTACTATGCCGTATTCATGTTTCTTTAATAACATTATGTCACCGCAACACGAAACCTCGTGAATACTTCAAGAAACTTCAAGAATAAACACATTTCATGACTATTCTTAACAACCTAAAATAAGACCTACAATGAAGATCGTAACATTGCTCAGTTACCTGGAGCAGTCTTGGTTTACTCCTGTGCTTTGGCATAATTAAGTGTATCCTTTCATCCTTAAAATGTTCCAGGTCAGTGGTGTTCTAGTGAATGTTCAACAACTGCTGGGGAGTGCAGGTCCTAATTTTTAGCATTAGCTGATTTCCATGGTGAAAAAATTACCACTGTGGTGACCAATTCAAGTGAATCATTTTTAAAACCTGGCTTACAAAACTTTTTTTTAACAATCAGCTCATCCAAGCTAGTAAAATTCAGTTTCAGTCCAGAACTGGTTCGATTTTCTATAGCAACAAATTACCTATTATTAGTACTCTTCTACACTCAAATGGGACTCAGTTTTGATTAAAAATTAAAAGGTTACATTACCTAAAATTGAAAGGTGTTACTGAGGATAAGCCATATAAACATAGTAAGTAAATGTTAGCTTGCACCATGCTTTGTAAATGGAATCAGTCTATATTTCACAAGGAAATGAAAAGTAGGGTAAAAATATCAATGCAAATACTTTTCCTAAAATAAAAATATTAATTTATTAGATCAATAATTTTATACCTCATACATTACACTTTTTAAAATACTGGCCTATATAGAGTCCATAGTTATAAATGTTATTTTTGAAGAAATTTTATTTTTATATAAAAATATTTATGCACAATATTACAAGTATCTTCTAAAGCTTATTTTGGAGTGTTTTAAAACAAATCCTTAACTTTTGATTATAGATTTTTCTCCACAAATTGAATAGCTTATATATTTATTTGATATCATTATTAACAAATTGCTTAATAAGTTTGAAACAGTTGAAATGCCTTCTATTAGATTATTTTAATATAATAGATTGAATTTAATTAAAACTAATCAGGGCCTAGAAATTATTTTAATTACTAAATAACAAAATGAAAAAAAATGATGAAATATCTTCAAATCAGAATTAGTAATAAGTCAGATAAGTCAATGTGTATAAAATAGGCTGCAACAACATTACAAGTAACATCAAATAAGAGAAATGAATAAGCTGGTTTTGCTTAACATAATTTCTTATGTAAAAAAGTACTCATTTGGCTTAATAGACATTTTGAAAAGTTATTAGTATAAATCATCAATGTTAAAAAATGTGAAATGCCGGTAGTACCAGCTACCCAGGTGCAATTCATAAAATCTGCTTTAATCAAGACATTTGTCAAATTAAAATGTAAATTAGGACTAACTTACAAAAACATGATAATGGTTTTTAAAATCGTAAAGGAATTCACATAGAGATGTAATAGCAAATTCTGTTAAGAATGTTTGAGAATCTTTTCTGCCAAATTAGAAAAAAAGCCTAAGACTTCTGCTGTGCATGTAGCACCCATCTTTTTCTGCAATTCATCCAGGATCTGAGTTATAAATGGTTCTTGCAAATGTCAGCCAGAATTCTCCATATTAAGGAGAATGTTCAAGGGTATCCTGTGGGGAAAGGAGAATTTAGTTTTAATGAGTCGATCTTTCTTTCTGTTTGGTGTGCTTTAGCTTTTCTGTTCTGAGTCTTAATGGTTATTGCTGGAATGGTCTCACTTGGCACATTGCACTGAGATGGATTGCTATTTGCTCACAGGAAAAGTTTTGTAACTGACTAATTATGTAACTCATTGCAATATTTTCCTCATCTCAACAACTACAATCTGGATACAGATTGTGTATGTATGTATGTTTGTGTGTGTGTGGTTTCTCCTATATAATTTTATCTTTCTTAAGTAAATGTAAGATGCAACATAATTGCCACTCTGAAAAAAAAGGTCATTTACACATCTAAAGAGAATATCCATACACTATCAAAAAGTATCTTAGAAGATATCAGCTAAAAGAAGCACATTACTTCACTAATATTACTTTAGTAATTAACACATTGTACTTGACTTTTAAAAACTTATTTACTATAAAAATATGAATTGGATATTCTTAATGTATCTTGATTTGTTTTTTAAAAAGAAAGCAATGTGGCACAATCATTATAATCAAGGAAGTTTTAATTTTATAGAGGATGAGACTTTAAAAAGAATATTAAAAGGCAGTTTAGAAATAATGTCTTCAATATACAGTAGTTGAGAAGAATTGCCACAAAAAAGAAAAATAAAAGTAGTTTATGTGTCTATAAAATAGCCCAGGTTACATATTTCCAACTATAGTAAAATGTATACTTTGGTTAAGAGAATTATGTACATTATTTCAATTCCCTATTCCCTACCTGCTCAGAAAACAGAGGTACACTGGCAATGTTATATTGGGAAATGTGTTAGGAAGAGTAAGAAAAAGACATTTGTCAGGCCAGGACCCGCAGCCTGCTACCTAACCATGCTTTCACCAATTTCCTGCCTTCACTGAAACAAATTTGCAGCACCGCTAGGTATAGTTGCCTGCTAAATACTTCATCCTTTTGATTATCTGAAAGTATTGTCCCTCAGATGCCAGTTAAATTGAGCCATTGGTATCATTAAAAATCCTAACATCATAGCATGTGTTAGCCCTCCTAGATACCCAATTGCTGTGATAACTCTAGTCCTATATATTTTAAGAATCAGGTTCCCCTCCATTTACCTTTCCATCTTTTATCTGGAGAGCTCTGAAATCCATAGGCATGAGCTTGCTTATTAACTGAAGCAGAAAAAGCTATCATACTAAATGCTCCTTCCATTGACGAGACAAATGGACCACTGGAATATTAGCATATTCAGTTTAATAATTATATTCAAAAAGGGATGTTTTAATATTTAACATAATTTTATCATTTAGAATATATGATATAGAAATATTAAAATATTACCATATATAATTTTATGGAAAACAGATGCAAACGTTGATATAATAAATTGAGGTTATAACCTCAATATATTTCTCCTTAATATTATATATAAGCTTATTCTGATAAATATTTGACCCAGGTAAATTTGTGTCCGGTTAGTTTTTTTTAACCTATCATATTGGCATTATTTTTTAAATCATGTTTCACTGTTGAAGAGTCTACAAATATCACTATTGACTTTATTCAGTCAACCAAAATGCAATACCTGATCATAACCTAATATGAAAAGAGAAATCTTTCTAATCAACAACAAAGACACAGAAGATGGAAATAAGAAATATAAGTAGCTCTGATATCATCAGACAAGTTTTAGCTTGCCAGTTATTCAAGTAAGTTGCTATGTTTATGTTTGTGTAATGAATAAAACCCGCTAGATGGTCTGCTTTCTTTTTCAGTCTGAAGAAATCTCTTGTCAGTAAAGTACAAGAATTTTAGTCCATAGATTCTTGATGTCTATCACATATATACACTAACTTTTTTTTACAATTTTTATTATTTTCCAATCATTAGCTCTGTTCCAGCTGTTTCGAGTTGCCAAGTTAAATGATTTCCAGACTACTGAAATATTATACATTGCTTCTATTCATACAAGACTGAAGACATAGTTGTTTTGTTTTGTTTCTCTTGTTCCCAAAGGGCTATTTTTAAACACGTGTGCTGTTTGCTTCAAAGTTTTGCATATTCTCAAAGGAAAACACTCCCTGAAATTTATTAATCAGTAGTTTGATGCATTTAGTGTTTAGTAAAAGCTATGGATGAGAAACAAAGAAAAACAGAGAGACTAAGAAAAATACAGAAAGCGGGAGTGAGAAGAAGGGAGCCAGGAAAAGAGGAAGGGAGGTGGGGTTGGAGGGATGAAAGGAGAGAAACATAGTGGTATTGAACTGTAGTGGCTAAGAAACAGGTCTCCAGAATCACAAAGAATTTTAACTGTGAAAATTTTTAGTCCTTTTTTTTTTTGACATTAGTCTAATTACATAATCCTTTGCAACTCCGATTTTCTTTTTCTTTTATTTATTTTTTTATTTATTTATTTTAGATGGAGTCTCGCTCTGTCACCGAGACTGGAGTGCAGTGGCGCAATCTCATCTCACTGCAAGCTCCACCTCCTGGGTTCACGCCATTCTCCCGCCTCAGCTTTCTGAGTAGCTGGGACTACAAGCTCCCGTCACCACGCCAGGCTAATTTTTTGTATTTTTTAGTAGAGACGGGTTTTCACCGTGTTAGCCAGGATGGTCTCAATCTCCTGACCTTGTGATCCGCCTGCATCAGCCTCCCGAAGTGATGGGATTACAGGCGTGAGCCACCACACCCTGCCTAATTTTCTTTTAAAAATTGATATGATATATTTTTCTTACTTCACAGACTTTTTAAATGGTAATCAACTTGGTTAATCCATGTGAAGCACTAACCACAGTGCCTGTCATGGAGCATGCAGTTGATAAATGTTAGCTATTATTATTATTATTACATATGATTGTGGAATACAAAATCAATGCAGTGATGATGTATTTCTAATATATAAGACTGTTGTTACTCTTTAAATATAAAGAAACAATAGTAAAATATTTGTAGATGGAGAGTAATCTATAATTTCTAGCTTTATGCCATATATCCTTATGGAGTGTCTAATGCGTTCTAGCCATTTTGATAGGCAGGTAGACACTGGGATAGCAAGAAGGATTGCATTTAATTTGAAAGAGGGAAAATTACAATTAAAAATGCTAAAATATTACGATCAAGCTATGAAAAAAACACTACAGAAGCACATAGGAAGAAAATGCTAAATATTAACTTTAGATATTCATTTCTCTGAGATGATGCTTGAAGACAGAAAGAGTTGTTTGTACACACTTCTGTAGATTACAGCAGAGAGAAGCTAAGAGATCCCAAATTATGTGATCACATCACTAAGAGCTAGATGTGAATAAGAACATAGCATTATGATCACAAGATGTGAATAAAAACATAGCATTATGATCAGCACTAGCTTCAGGGTATAACAAAAAAGTTAGAAAAGAGATAAAATATTTTACTTCCAATAAAATGTTTCTGGTAAATTATCTGTATATTTCAGCGTAAGGTATTTTTCATAGCATAAAATACGTAGATACTGCCCATAATTTTTCATGGTGCATTATTTTAGGACACTCTTATTATACCAGAGATCTAGATTTTTTGATGAATTTAATGCACTTCATTATTCAATAAACAGCTTATTACTTCTCAAATGTCTTGCCTATGGGTATTCATTATGCAATTGAAATTATTTTGGATATCTCAACATAGCAATCTTTAAACAGGATGAAGCTTATTAAAGTACAGCATAAATAACAAGCTTATTGCTAACATGCATATTATTTGCAAGGTTTTGATTAAAATCATGTCATAAAAACATCTTTTTTTGGATAACTTATTTTACTCAGAGTTCAAATAGGGCTTATTTATGTAAATATAATTAATTAGACACTAAATTGTAGATAGAGTCTGATGGAAAAAGCTACCCTATTTCCTAGTTTCTACGTCACATGCAGCTGCCTCTCTAATAGTGATAGTGTTGCTGTCTCCCATTTTTATTTAAATGTGTAAGTTATTGGGGGAAAAATGACTTGAATGTTTATGGTATCTTACTATAGATAGGTCTTTCTTAATGTGCAGCCTTTCTAAATTGTAGTAAGCACACATTGATCAATATATTTTAAAACTGAATATTTACTCCATGACAAAATTGATACTGCTTTTGTTACCAGAGGAGGGTCTTGACTACAAGTCGTCCAAGTTCTTGGTACTTTGAACAAAGAATTGAATAAAAAGCACAAAGAAAGCAACAAAAGAATGAAGCAAGAAAAGCACAGACATATTGAAATGAAAGTACACTCCACAGAGTGATAGCAGGCTAGAGCAGGGGACTCAAGATCGCTGGTTACAAAATTTGCTGGGGTTTAAATACCCTCTAGAGGTTTCCCATTGGTTGCTTGGTTACACACTATGTAAATGAAGGAGTGGCCCACCACCAATCTGGGCACAAGAGGTGACCAATGAGAGGCTGAAGTGAAGTTGCAAAGTTACACCCTATGCACATGAAGACTGGTTGCAGGAGGGGACCAATCAGAGGTACCTTCCATTTTTCCTTTGCCACAGTAGTGGAAAGTGGGATGTTGCAAAGGGAGTTGCCTCTGATCCTTTTGTAACCTAGGCAGGGAGAGGTAGAGGTTTCCTTTTCATTCATTTCTAGAAAGTCAGCGGGAATCGACCTTAGGTTCCCTGCCTCCAGACCTTATTCTCCCGCTTCACACAAAGAAAAATAAGGCAACTTTTAAAAAAGAATCATTTGATTGGTGTCTAATAAAGTGTTTTCATGTTTTTTTTTTTTCAATTATATTTCTGCAACGAAATTTCTTCAGGAGCCAGAAATTCTTCTCTGGCTAATGGATGCTTCTCAGTCTGTGAGCAGAATATTCTGAGACAATAACGTTATTTTTAAAAAATATAGTTCATTATGCATCACTGAAAGGAAGAACTACTAAGCAACTTAAGTCATCCTGATCTGAAGAAAATTTAATAGAATGAAATCCAATATTTCATTTGATTCATAGCAAAGATTGGGTCCTGTGCTACAAAGTAGGGAAAATATTCATATTAAAGGTATTGCAAACCAGAAAAATAAACAATTATGCAATATCTTTTCTAAGTGAAATTTCATTTTTTTTTCACAATGGAACTGCAAATGAACAGAAAGACTACATCAACTTTAAGCACAGCTTTAAAATATAAATAGGACCAGTAATAAATTGATGGTGCATGTTTGAGCTTTTTTTAATTCCAATTTTCTGAACTTCTGATTTCCTCATTTATCTTTATCTTGTTGCAATGTGCTTGTTTTACTGTACCTTTCAAGATACTTGCAATATTTTTATTTTCTACTTAGTAAAATTAAAATACTAAAATATAGTATTCTATATGTTTGAGATTTTATTAAATGTATCAATTCAATAAATATTTATTTAGAATTTAAAATAACTTCCTTTTACAAAGATCTAGGCATACTAGAGAAGCATTTAAATTTATTATTTTACTTCTCTTAATTTTAAAAATAGAATGCAACCTTTATGTACATGTTGTATATAAAATAATATATATAAAATTAATAACTCAGTATCTGTGTTGCAATTACTTCTTGGTCCATATTAGTTTCCTTAGTTATTCCTATTTCTGTTGGGCTTTCCTTATTATTTATTTTAACAAAATGAAGGATATGCAGGAAGTAAAGTTAAAACATGAGTTTAAGAATGTAAAATTTAAATTCAAAGGAAGGAAGGAGAAAAAAACAAGGAAATTAAGTTTAGAAGACACAGTTTACAAATACATTACATCATGATCACCAAAGCTACATTTTTAACTGAAAAGTTGCTGTTCATAATGATATGGGAGGGGGGCAGGGAAGTGCTGAGTAGAGAAGGGTGGGGTACCTGGCAAGGGCTCCACCCTTGGGCCTGTGCCCAAGGACCTATGTAAGGACAGACACTCCTCTTTTCCTGCCCAAATGTTGCATTATCCAAGAACACTTGGGTCCACCACGCCCCCCTGCCCCCCATCCTGTGCCCATAAAAACCCCAAGACCTTAGCAGGCATACACACACGTGGCTGGACATCAAGAGGAACACACCAGCAGACGAACACTCTGGCAGATGCCGGAAGGCCATTGATGGCAAAACCATGCAAACACTCACGGGAATTCGGTCAGAGGAGAATCTGGCGGCTGGGCAACCCGACTCCAGGGGAAGACCACCTTCCCACTCCATCCCCCTTCTGGCTTCCCCATCCGCCTTGCTGAGAGCTACCTCCACTAAATAAAACCTTGCACTCATCCTCCTAGCCCACGTGTGGTCTGATTTTTCCGATACACTAAGGCAAGAACCCAGGATACAGAAAGCCCTCTGTCCTTGTGATAAGTTAGAGGGTCTAATTGAGCTGATGAACACAAGCCACCTGTAGACGGCAAAACTGAATGAGCATACTGTAACACAGCCCACTAGGACTTCAGGAGCTATAAACACTCAACCCTAGATGCTGCTGTGGGGTTGCAGCCCCATGAACTGCCCGTCTGCATGCTTCCCCTAGGGATTTGAGCAGTGGGGCACTGAAGAAGCAAGCCTCACCACCATCGTAAGCCTTAGGAGGGGGACAAAGGAGCTTTTCCCGTTTCAATAATGTTAATTATAACGACAATACAATTGCCTAAATCAAATAGAGAATAATTATAGCTTGAGAAAATAGAAAATTCGTGTGATACGATTTTACTTAAGTGTAAAGGTGCACTTAGAAATTTTGTTCCTGAACTTGAAATCTTATCTCTATTTTGAGAGGATATTCAGACATATCTTAGAGGAAAATGATACCCTGGAAGTGCAAAAAAAAAAAAAAAAGTAGAAGAAAAGCATATGAGGTAGGCCCCACACTTACCCCATTTCTCTACCTAGAAAAAGTCTTTTAAATTTGACTCAAGTAGATGAAACCCAAGGACAGCATGGTAGTCCGGCTAAGCAGAGTGGACAAAGGTCAGAATTCAGGGGTAGTGCTACAGTTGGAAATTTCAAGGAAACTGTATGGGACTGGGGTTCACCAAAAATCCTTATCCAAGGTCTGCTCTCATTGTGCTCATGATGACACTTTAAAGGCCAAACAGAAAGCAGCTGCGACAGACCAAAGAGTTCACATGGAGCTGGGAGACATTGGCATTCTGACCCGTCTGAGTGGACGGACTTCAATAATCTGAGACATCTGCTGACACAAGAGAAAGGACACATTTTAAGAACAAGGACCACATCATGTTGTAAGAACTTCTCTAAACCCTTTAAGACAAAGCCTAAAGTGAAGCCTCAGAATGTTCAAGCGAAACTACCATACATTAACTGTTTGTTAGAACAAAAGTAAACACTCTGTAAAGGAAGACAACATACCTCAAACCTGGATGTTAGAAATAGCAGACCCTTAAGGAGTTTAAAGAAACTATTGTAAGTATAGTTGGAGACTTACTAGAACAGATGATCTTCAGAAGTAAAGATAAATCATAAGAGAAACATTTAAATGATAAAGTCAATTGCACAAATCTGTGAGTGAAGAATACAATATTTGAAATGAAAAACATTTATTGGATGGGTTTATTAGGAGATTAGATACTACAGAAGAAGAGATTAGTGAACTTTAGGAATTTACTAGTAGAAACTATTCAAACTAAAACTCAGAGAAAAAAATAAAAATAAAAATGGTAGAGTTTCAGTGAGTTATGCCAAAGTATCAGTGAACTATGAGGAAGTTCCTAGTAATGTAGTACATATGTATTTGGAATCTCAAAAAAAAAAAAAAAAAAGAAAGAAAAAGAAAAAGAAAAAGAAAGGGCTTAACAGATCAAAATAGTGATTGAAAATTTCCCAAATTTGTTGAGAAACATTGACTTCAAGACCCATGCAGCTCAGTAAATGAGAAGCACGATGAATACCAAAAAAAACCCCACACATTGCACATCGTAGTCAAACTGCTGAAAATCAAAGGAAAAACTCTTTAAAGCAAGATGAAAAATCACAGAATACCCACAGAAAACAATGATACAAACAACAGCTAAATTATCATCAGAAAATAAAGGTATAAAAAGAATTATATATTTAACATGCTAAGAAAGTAAATTATCAACCAATAATTTTGTATCCCATAAAAATATTCTTAAACAGATGTGTGTGAAATACATATTCAGAAAAATGAAAACTGAGCACAGGGTTCACCATATATATGCAGTACAAGAAATACTAAAGAAAACTTTTCAGGCTGAAAATAAATTGTACTATATGAAAATTCAGATTTGTAGTTAGGAATAATTAGCATGTTAAATGACAAATTATAAACATGTTAGTAAATAAGTGAATGATTTTTTTCCAACAAGAAACTGTTTAAAGGTAGTAAATTTTATCATTAGGTAGGACTTGTACTATGCATGGAAGTAAAATGTATATTAGAAACAACACAAAGGGTAATTGGTTAATGAAAAAAATGTTATCAAGTTGAGAGTTTCTTATATTTGTGTAATGGAAATTGTGAAGTGTAAAGTAATAGGTTATTAATTCTAAGTAAATTATGAAAATGTAAGGAGGCCTATTTCAATCTTAGCTACAAACACTAAAAGTTATAAAGAGAAGTATAGCAAAATGTAGAGGAAATAGATTAAATATTAAGACATATTGGTGAATTCCAGAAAAGACTGAAAAGGGAAAACTATTTTTAAAAAGCATATAAAACAAATTGAAAGCAGATAGAAAAATGGTGGATGTCAACACAAACATACCAACAATTACATTAAATAAAAATAGATATTTTTTTCTGATAAAATGAATCAATTATTATATTGAATTTAAAAAAATGACAACATACTGTCTACAAGGAACCCCAGGTAAGATAGACAGAAAGTCACAGGTGGGTTGAAAGTAAAAGGACAGAAAAATAAACAATGAAATCTTAATTTATAAAAAGGCTTTTATGGATCATTTTAATTTTTTAAAAAACATTTTTTACAAGGTAAGGAGAGTAACACTTTATAATAATGAATGAATCAGTTGAAGAAGAAGATATAACAATGACAAATGGATATCTATCTAATAAAAGAACTTCAATATTCATAAAGCAAAATCAGAAAGAAGTGAAAAGAAGGATAAATCCACAATCATTGTTAAGGATTTTACTGTTCAGCTCTGGGAAATTAAAATAAAACAAGTAGACAAAACATAGGAAGAATATTGATCATCTGACCAAGACTATCCATCACTTTGACCTAATTTGCATCTTGAGATGTGTAGACTACTACACTCAAAACTACTGTGTATACAGCTTTTTCAAAAAATTGAACATGGAATATTTATCAAGATAATTCATGACTTGTCCATAAAATATATCTCAAAGCAAATAAAACAAAAACCAAATAAAAACAAAATACGGTATATCAAAATAGTAATGCTGATAAAGCAGTGCTTGGGGGGGAAAAAAACACACACAAATGTAATCCCAGCTTCTCAGGAGGCTGAGGCAGGGGGATCACTTGGGTCCAAGTTCTTGAGGCTGTAGTGAGCTATGATTGAGCCACTATACTCCAGCTTTCGCAACAGAGTGACATACTGTCCTTTCTCCCCTCCTGAAAAAAAAAAATAATTCGAGGTTTGAGACATAGCAAATTGTGCTTTATCAAACTCTCTAGAAAAATGTGATACACACTGAAGTTTGAAAACCGTTGGTTTTAAGCCATTTCAGTTACTTCTCGTCAGAGAGATACATGCCCAATGCTGCTCATGGACAGTGAGAGTGATACTGCTACAATACCATTGCCTGAACAATACTTTTAAAAGTAGACATATTAAAAGGTAGGTTTCAATCCAATCAACTGTCAGTTAGAATAGTTGCTGTTGAAGCAGTCCATCACATTTCAAACCTTTACCAGGGGCTTGGTAGTTTTCAGTAACTGAAGTGCAATAGATATTAGCTTCTTAAGGAAATCCTCCAGTTAAAATATTTAGGACATTAAAAATGCACCTTGAAGAGTACTTCAAGTCTGTGTCTTCATGAAGATGTTTTAATATATATTTTTAATTTAAAACACAAATCATTCAGCTAAAATATTGATTTATCAAACAGTGCTTTTGGCTAGACTCCAAGCTGTTTTGAACATTTGACTCAACTGACTGGTTAATTCATTCTGTATTTTCAAAACAGTTGTATAGAAATATTTTGGGAAAATGTAGAAGTTATAATATGAAGAATGCCAACATTTCCTAATGCTCTCATTAAAATTCTAAGCTCATTGAATTATTATTTTTTACTTTTGGTCTCATGGATTTATGAAGTTTAATTCAAGTTCTGAATGTCTAAAGTACAAATATCCATACTAATTAGAATTCAGTCACAACAGACAAGCTTAATTGGGACAAAAAAACTCCTGAGAAAATCACAGTAGATTATTTCAAGTCTGAGCATTTCAAGGACTTCTTTGTTATGCCAAGATCCAGTTATTAAGATTTCTCTTGTCCTTTCATGATTTCTTCACAATAAATTTTACTTTCTAGGCAGTTTCATAAATGAGTAACTGGTATACTACTTCTAGTTTTCAGAAGGACTTTGTAATTATGAGCAAAATTGCTGTGATTTACGTTCTGTCCTATAGATGATAACACAGAAATAAAAGAAAGTCATGGGATAATTATAAACACAGTGGCAGAATCATCTTCTTATAGGAATATTATAAGCAAAAGATCTTGGACAGTTTTACTCTGCCAGCACAGATGCTCATTTAAATATTTTCACAAAATTCAATATTAAATAGAGAGTAATATCTTTATTTCAAGTGTAAATTAGCAATCAAGAAATACTAAAGTCAAAATTATAGATTTTAAATTGTGTTTGCAAATTTCTAATCTTTATATTAAGTCTGAAAATCCAAAATATGCTGCATATTTAAATGTCAGTGTGTTGGTTTAGATGTCTAGGCTATAATAATAAATATACCAAATATCAAGTGGCTCAAACACAATAAAAGATTATTCCTCAGTCACGTAATACTCCAATGTAGTTTCATGATCAATAGGCAGTTCTCCTTTGTATAGTGTGTCAGAAATCCAAGCCCTTTAAGTCATTTGGCCTGACACCTTGTTATTATAGGACTCCAGCTAGCATAGAGAGAGAGGCAGTTTGAGAAGAAAAACACACGCCAAGCTTAGTCTCAAAATAGCACCCATTACTTCTTTCATGTACTACTCTTTAGAAAAGAGTCATATGGTTATATCTAAAGCAAGGGAAGTTAGGAAGTGTAAAATAGTTGTGTGCTGAAGAAGAGAAAATGCATTTTTTTGATTAACTGATAGTATTCTCTGCGGCAGTCAGTTTAACCTAATTTAATGCTAATTCAATACTTCCCAAAAAGCTCACTTTATAGAGACAAGCTGAAGCAGAACTGTCATAGTTTAAATTGTATTCACAGCATAAGTATTGAGACATCCCAATAAAGAGATAAGACACAAAGAGAAATTGCACAAAAGCACACCCAAATCATAAACTTACGACACAGGGTTGTGTGTCTGTGTTTGTGTGCACTCTTATGTGATGTCTATGGAAGTTAGCTATGGTAGGGTAAAGACAAATGTTGGTTTTGTATGTGCATTTGAAAATAATTCTCATTAAGATGTGGCTATATCTGTTCCCACTGCTTCAATTATCACTACTGAACAGGTATGAAATGTGGGGTATTCAAAATAATGTAAGTTACGGATTCAAATATTCTAAGTATGCTATCTTGGTAAAGCTGCTTACTAATAATGTGACTTTGGGGAAGTTTTTAAATTTCTTTTAAATCTAGCTTCTGATTTTTAAAAAGACAATTTTTCTACTTTGAACATTTTGAGGATCACATGAGATGATATATAACAACACTCTGACCCACAAAAAACAAACTGTAAATAGTACCTATTTTTATGACTCCCATATCTCCAGTTCTGATCTCTTTCCTGAACTTGTGGCCCATTTTTCCAACTTCTTATTTTTCTATTTTATTTTGCAATAAGTTAAAAGCACTGCTTCCTACTTTTACCAAGATAAGTAGATTCCACTATTTAAAAAAAAAAAAACTGTAGAATTACCTCCATCTCCATCATAAAGCCTCTACTACAGCCTCATTATACTCATGCATAATGAGCTAATTGCATAATAGACCGTGTCTATGTCCTCATTATGCTGTTTCCACATGTTTTTCTAAAAAGATTACTTTCTAAGTCTTCGAAGGCATCTTGTTACTTGAGGAATTCTCAAACATTTACTATGATTTTCAAGGCTCTTCACAAATTCACCTTATCAAAATTTTGCAACATCTTTTCCTGTCATTCTCTTTCCCTGATCCATAAATACTATCTTAAAGGCTAAAGGTTTGCATACAAAAAATCTATTATCATCATTAATTTATACATCTGTCCATCCGGGAATATGTGCTCAGAATGCATTTTCTTACTTTCTCTACTGGTCAGGTAATTTGGTTACTCCAGAGTTCCTTTAAGACTCAGTTGAAATCTTAATTCGGTAACTAAACTTTCCAGGACATGTCATGCTGTGTATTGGTTGCCAGAAAAGGCCAAAAAGTTCATGTCACATGAAGCGTATCTTTCAAGTAAGGGTCTTAGAATCTGGGCCTCTCACTTCCAACGATTACTTTTAATTGCTCTAGAAAAGAAGTCACCTTGTTGGAAATAATGCTTTGAATGTAGGATATGGGGATATCTCTGAAGCCTGTTGCTAAATGAGGAAAACCCCTAGATTGGGGTCTGTATTGAGGATTATGAATCAACCACATGTAGGGCTTTGGTTACTATGGAATTTATCAGAATTAAGTAGACAAAAATTAACTTAGCTTTTGAAGGGTGTGTATTCACAGTGTGAGTAATAAAACATTTGTTAGAATTGTTGCAAAAAAAGACAATTTCTCTTGCTCCTCTCCTCTTTCCTCTTCCTCCTCCTTCTTTTCCTCATTCCCTCCTTTGTTCACCTTCTCCTTGTCTTCCTCGTCCTCCTTGTTTTTTTTCTCTTCCCTCTCTTTCTTTCTCTCTCTCGTTCTGTGTCTTTTCTGGAGTTGCTGAAGGGATGAATTCAACCCTGGATTTTCAGGTAGCCAACTTGACACTAAGAAGAAAGCCTACCTGTGAATAAAGCCAGCCTAAAGAAAGTTAGAGCTGAGGAACCCGTCCTGATGACAATGTTGAGCCTCTTATACCACCTGTTCCTAAAGCTGATTTCTAGACAAACCAGTAGTTACCTGAGACAATAAATTCTTGATTTTTTAGTTAAGTTTGAGTTGCGTTGTTGTACACTGTACTTTAAGAAATCTTACTCAAATTATATTACCCTATTTAATCCTCATAACAAATCTGTAAGTTAAGTAGACTAATTTTACATGGGAAGAATTTGAGATGCCATGGTTATATGGATTCCTCAAGGTAATTCATATAGTAGAGAGTAAAGGGTAAAACATGGATCTGAAACCAAGTATGTCTGATTCCAGTAACTGCTTTGATTACTGCTCATCATTCTCTGTTTGTCCATTAAAAAAACTGCTACCAACTTATTTAATCTGTCAAATAACCATAAAAGATCATATATTGTGTTTGTTTTTAAGAAATAAAAGAAGAGAGGAAGGAAGAAGGATGGAAGGAGAGAAAGAATACATGTCTAGATACATATATAGATACCTTCATATGTACATACACTGCCAACTTTTAAGATTATACTATGGAAATTTAAAATATTGGTAATAAAATAATAATATTACACTTCAACTCTGTAAATAAAGCTAATTCAGGGTAATATTAAATGATTATCTGTTTGTCTGCCAGGCACTGAATATTAGGATTTGGCATGTGGTATTTCATATCACAAGTATGTGATACTGGATAAATTATAGCTCTTACACCCATTTCGGTTGTTTTTCTTTTCTCTTTTCACTAGATACAGGTGAACATTTTAGTCAGTTAATGCCTTCTTCTCCAATACCTTTCTCTATCCCTGTTGGAAGATTTAGCCCTCTATTTTCAATGAAATTTAAAGAAATTTTATTTAGATCATCTCTAATAACTCAAAGTCCACAAGTCAAAACCAAACTTACTGCACAAGTTGGTTTCTTCTCATGAGTTCTGGGATAATGTATACTTTTTTTCCAATAATTGGTATTCAATATTTCACATTAAAATTTAAGTGCTCAGATCACATTATTTTACACATTCAACCAGTGTTCAACACCTGAAAATGCAGTTCCCTACATTCAAACATGCCCGTATATTTCTCCACTCTGATTTGCATGTCAGTCCCCAAACTATTAAGTACACAGATAAAAACATTTAGCAGCTTTTTCAGAAATTATATAGAAAAATTGAATATTACTGCCTTAGAAATATTTATTATAATAAAATTTTAAAATACATAAATGATAACAAGAAAACTAAAAATGACTCTTCAAACTTTAGATAATGCTATTCTTGTATATACTGCTGACCCTCCAGACATACATTTTTAACCATTCTTTTCCAATGATTGTCACAGCTCAGACACCAAATATTCTTCTCCAAATAACTACATGGACATTTTATAAGCACCTCAAACAAAGCATATTCATAACTAAACTCATTATCTTTACTCACCTTTGTATTTTCCTCACTATTCCTAATCTCAGTTAATGATGTTGTCATTTATCACCTCTGCATTCCTAAAACATATAAGGCTATATACACATTGTAAATACTCTTGACATGTACTAAATAAACACAGAAACATAATGTTAATCTACATAGCTAGAGTTTTTCCCACTGATATCAAAAGTGAAGTAACTATAAATGATATTGGAAAGGAAAAATATTCATGTTTGGAAACAGGAATTTATCCATGCAACAAGGCATAAAACCTTTGGAAACACAATTGTTATAAATGTGTAATAGCTTATTTGAATAATCTACTTATTTAGATCTTCATATTCTTATGTAATTGAATAGACACGTGTGTGTGTGTGTCTGTGTGTGTGACAAATTTTACCAAAACATTTTGAAATTTCTAAAATGAAGATTTCAACCAGTATTATGCTGTCTTCATAAAGCATGAAAAAAATACATCCTCAGAAGTTCTCAACATATCATATGTTACATTGACCATCATGCAAATGACTATCTCTCATACCCTCTTATGTAATTTCAACATTTACTAGTGAATAATAAATATTTACATTGTACCATATTATAGGAAAAAAAACTTTATAAGTTGAAAGTATTAGAGAAAACCCAGGAGATACAGAAGAATTCCATTTTAATTAAGACAAAAATGTAATAACAAGATCAGTAAATTCTTGTAATTTTATGTTGCCTTAACATCCATTTTGAATACAAGTTAACTTTCTCATACCAGATGCAGGGCTCAGTCACCCTTGACAGTTTCCTGTTCTACCTCATACCCAAATAGCTCAAGCCAAGTCTGTGGCTAGAGGAAGTACTTAGAAGTCTCTCTTCTGCCTAGCGTACTGGGCTCCCTAATTTCCCACTGATTTCTTTAAAGAGGCTATTCAGGCATTTGCCCACCAATCGAAAGTGACCCAGTCTCTATTCCCTTATATATATTGTTAGTTACCATACACTTCTCTCTTTCTCTCTCTTTCTCTCTCTCTCTCTCTCACACACACACACACACACACACACACTCTCTCTCTCTCTCTCTCTCTGTCTGATTCTTCATTCCTGCCTCGTGGCAGGAGACAGAGGACTGCCCTCCTGACCCAATAGGCCCTCTTTGCTCAGAACTGTAGGTAAAAATATTTGAATTTGTTTCCTAATGTAGCAGTAGGTTGAATTCGTACTTTCTACCTGAAGAACCAAGGGCTATCTCAGGCTAGGTTTTCCCTGCAATGCCAAGGAGAACACAAGTTCAGGCTCCCAGTGCCAGAGCAATAGTCAGGCAGGCCTAAACTGGACATGGATCAGACATGAGCCACAGGGAAATCTGCCAGCATAAACAAGTTTCCCATGTGAGGGACCCCCCGATAAGGGGTGGTAAAAGAAGTATCCATTAAGGGTACACTGTTAAACACCCATGCCCAGCTCTCCTTTATTTCTTGTTAGGGCAAAATTGCTGGCTACTCTGATACTAGAACTCCAATTTAGGAGGAAACTTCCAAAATACAATACGTAGAAATAAAATGCCTGTTTTATTCTCTAGATTAATATCAATTAATATCATTTAATATCATCTTTTATGAAATATAGCAATGATTTAGTCATATTTAGATTTTATATTAAACTTAAAAACCTCATGTAAAATCAAGCACCAGTATTCAGAATGGAAGGTCTGCATAAGTAAGTCATTGTAAAAATATGATCAGTATGTGATGGTCATGCTGATATTCTGTTTTTCTCTCCAAATCTATTATCACTTTGCCTATAGCGCAAGGAAACTGATATTTATAGATTGATTCGAAGGGTGGCCTTTCCTCCTATTTCCCTGTTAGACTTCACCAATAAAAGGCACCAACAAAAGATGAGACGTTGGACTAGAAAAAAGGTTAAGGGATTTATTTCTTTCCCTCCCTTCTTGCCGGTCCAAGACTGTCAGTGGCTGTATTTCACTGTCAATAGCACAGCTAAGGTTAAGTGAACCTCAGCTACAGACACAACTTGCTCTGGATCCTAGCCACTGCTCTACACCATTGCACCTTTAGCAATGATAAATTTAGAGATGATAAAGTGCTTCACCAGCTTTTCTGGATTTCCCTTTATTATGCTCATACATCTTAAAACAGAATCTTTCTTAAATTTTATTAAAGTCTCCTTAATTACCCCCTCTTGGTAAAGCATCTCTTTCACGCATAGAGTTTATTTATTCAGAATTGGTTCTAGGAGTGGCCCCAGAGAATGATCCATTAAAATAGGATTCTGGCAATGGCTTGATGATGGGTTTGCAGAGGGAAACTGACTGTAATCATACAGCTGACGAGGAAAATTTCTGGGTTCCTCGTATTAAAAACATACTTTATAAAAATGTGTACAAATAACAAAAGAGGATGTAGAGGGAAAAAAGATAGACTATGCTGGGTATTATTCATTTGGTCCTCAAAAATATCTGGCAAATTTATATCAGTTATCTATTGTTACATAACCAATCACCCCAAAATTTAGAGGCTTAAGGCAACTTATATTTATTCTTTTTTACAATACTGTGGCTCAGCAGCACAGTTTTATTTACCTGAGTAAGGCAAGACTGTTCTTTCCTTGATTTGTTTATGTAATTAGGGTCAAGTGGCAGATTAGCTGTGTTGACTGGTCTAGGATTGGTTGAGTGTGGCTGGTCTAGGATGTCCTTAGCTGAGATTACTCATCTCTTACCTATGTGGTCTCTCATTCTCCAGCATTAGGTTAGTTTGAGCTTGTAATGATGCCACTGGCAAGATTCTAAGAAAGAGAAAGCAGAAGATGCAAGATTTTTTGACACCTGAGTTTTAAAGCGGCACAACATAATTTCCACCGTATTATATTAGTCAAAGCAAAGTATACACCAGCGCAGGTTGAAGAACTGGAGTAATAGATACCACTTCTTGAAGGGAGAAGCTGCAAAATTACATTGTGATGATAAGGGACACAGGGATTGGTGAAGATTTGAGGATGTTTTTGGCACTCAGTCTACTTCAAAACTTCACCACTCTGGTCTGTCTGAGAAGCTCATTCTTATATATTACATCAAAGAATTCTCATCTTTCATCTTCTTCTTGGGTTTGACAATTGAGAGACACCAGTAGCACATTAGAGACTATCAAAGCATGTCAGACTACAAGTTATTCATGGCTGAATTTCTCTCTCTAAAGCAAGCATTCTCGTTTGGTGAGCTTTAAGATACACTTGTATTCATGATTCCATATTACTCTTCATTAATTAAAATACAACATTTTTAAAGTTAATGCTTAGTAATTAAATTTTCAGATATTTTAATTTATAATTCAGTGACAAAATATCTATAACTCTGAAAGAACATTCAGAATTGCTCTCCGTGACACATTATTATTAAAAATGGACATTAAAATATCTTCAAAATATTTTAATTGAAAGCTTATCCTTGTGAGGATATTTTTAATTGAAAAATTACCCCTGTGGTTTCAAAATGTGCCTATATTTATTTCCATATTGTAAGAAAATTATCTTCAAATTAAATCAATTTTTAAAATAACGTAGTTTGAGCACTGATTTTATCTAATTATAATTTGTGAATAACTTTTTTTACATTATTGTATTTGACTTTTTATATTTCCCTGGGGTAAGAAACATATCAAAATAATTGTTAATGCTTGAATCTTCATTTTACAAACTATGTTTAATGAGTATTTTATATTGTGGATATTATAGAATATATTTTTTCAACTATATTGTTATAGATTGCCAAATAATAAAAGGGTTATATTTATTTCAATGTTTAACTAAAAAAATTATAGTACATATATTTCACAAAGTTTATATCAACATTTATTTAGAAAAAATTATAAAGATTGAATTCATGAATGTTTCTCAAATTTGCTTTATCCATCTCCAACTCTATATCTGTATCTATATTTATATATTTATATAATCTCATCATTTTCATTATAGGCACAAGCGTATCTGTGTGTCTTCATTGAGCCAGTTGCAAGCTACTATCACTTTAACTGTACTGTTAAATATTTCCACATACACCTTCTAAGAGTCAAAGCTATTCATTTACATAATTTCAGTAGTAGTATCACAACTAAGTAGAATAATGACTGCACCTTTATGCCATCTAATGTTCAACCAATATATAAATTTCTTTTCATAGCCCTCAACATCTCTTTAATTGATTTTTTAAACCATATTCAGTCAAGTCTCAGACAGTACCTTTTTTTGTTATATTTTTCAGTTTCTTTCTATCTAGAAAAATCCTCAACTGGTTTTTATTGTTTTGTTTTTAAGTTCTTGTTTTTATGGTGTATATATTGGATAGAGTCCAGTCAATTGTCTGGTTGATGGTCCACACATTCTGGATTTGTCTCAGTGTTGTCTCATGGTATATAACTTGTTCCACTACCCTATGTATTTTGTCTGGGTTTATGTCTAAAAGGTTGATTTGTTCAAGTAAAACAGGATAGGTAAGAATAATTTATAGGCAATGCTACATCCATTATGTTGCATCACGTCAGCTGTACATAATGTCAAGTTGTCCTAATGTTAGTTTTCCTAAGTTTGACCACTTGGTTAAAGTAGTACCTACCAGATTTATCCACCTTAAAGACACATTTTTTTCCTTTCCTGAATAGTAAAGGAGTCTGTTTGCTGATACTTTGACAACATAAAACTATTATGTTTCCCAAAGTACTTTGAATCAATCATTATTTTTCCATTAAATTACTACACTTATGGTTGAAAAATGCTTTTTAAAAATTTTAAGATGGCATCTCATGTATTAGCCTATATTCTTCTGAAAAGAAAATATTTTCTTACCACTGTGTCTTTTATTGACTCAGTTTATTAAGTGAGAGTCAGTATGGAGTCAAGATTTAATAAGTAAAATCAATTAATATTATTTTGGTGTTCAAATGATCAGCTTTGATTCAAAGCTTAATCAATAATTAAATATAATAAATGACTCTCATCAATTCTTTTCTAAAGATTCTTCTATTGTCTTTCATTGGATGAAGCTCATCACCTGATAGATTTCAAAGGGAGGGATCATAAGTAGGTTTTTCTTTTGTTTTTGAATGTTTATTGCTCTTTTAAGTGTTCAGTTTAATCTTTCAAGTTTCTTGAAAAGAATGCTCCACTCTTGACCTTCTTTGTATATTGCTGTTACTGTCTGGGGAAAACTATTTCATTATATTTTATTTTTATTTTACTTCATCCAAAATAAATGGATTATTTTGGAAATAAATAGGAAGGATAATTTTGCATTAATTTGGGGCTGCTGTTAAAGGCATGGTTATAAAGCTTTTTATATTGCATTTTGTAACTCCCTTTTCTTACTGCCTAGACTGTGGTACGAAGGGTTTTTTCTGTTTATAATTAAACCATAATAGCTTTCCTAAGATAAGATTTTTGTTGTTTTCTTTAGATTTACCATTCAAGTTATTTTTTTGCTGGCATAAGATCAACTTTTCAATATATAAATTCTGATATCCTTATTAAATCATAATCTTTATTCTTTTGATTTTGAACATTATTTTTTCCTTTTTAAATTTTTTTGCTCTTCAGAGTCTACAATTTGTGTGTGTGTGTGTGTATGTGTGTGTGTGTGTGTCCATATACACACACACACAAGTGTGTCCTACTTGTGTATTGATACCTATGTGTTTAAACATTGACATAGAGATATATACATACACATACAGATGATCTATTTTGTCTATGCTTATTTGTCCTGGCCCTTCTTAAAAATTATTTTCCTTGGCCAGCTGCGGTGGCTCACACCTGTAATCCCTGCACTTTGGGAGGCCGACGCAGGTGGATCACTTGAGGTCAGGAGTTTGAGATCAGCCTGGCCAACATGATGAAACCCCGTCTCTACTAAAAATACAAAAAAATTAGCCGGGCATGGTGGAGGGCACCTGTAATCCCAGCTACTCAGGAGGCTGAGGCAGGAGAATCACTTGAACCCAGAAGGTGGAGGTTGCAGTGAGCTGAGATCACACCATTGCACTCCAGTCTGGACAACAAGAGTGAAACTCCGTCTCAACAAAAAAAAAAAAATTTTTTTACCCTTTACGCTTATTCCTTTATTTGCAGCTTGCATCTGTCTTTCCACTGGCATCTTGTACTAATTAATCATGAGATGATGTTGTGTTGTACTTCAATAGTTTCTCTGTTCAATTTCTTTTTATCTCAAGTCTTTCTTTTGCATGTATATTATAGTTACGAGTTTACGTTTGTATCTAATTTGCTGCATTTCTTTTGTATTTCTATTTTAAAATTTTATTTAACTAGGGTGAAAAATTAGTGTACAGTTAACCTTTGCCTTTTTTTTCCGTATCAGAGGCTATTTATATTTTTAAACATAACATTTTTGATTGGTAATTTTTAGTCTTAAACGGTAGATTGGTATGGCTATAAATGAGGTTTTCTTGTTAATAATAAACTTTCTGGAAATGTTCCGAATGAACAGGAAGCAAATTGGGGTGGAATGGGAAATGAGCTTAGATGACACATTCATTTTATATGTTTATTGTTTCTTATTCTGATGGTACAGTGAAGTTCACATCTTTAATAAATGATACCTTCATGGTGGGGAGAGGTCAGTGTGCTTTCTGCTTCTGACTCTGTGATGGTTTTTTGTTTCCATGGCTTTATGAACTACAATGGCATGCTTATTTCTCTTTGTTCACCACCACCAAACCTCCTTCCTGTTCTTAAGTGCTTCCCATGCCATCCTCTTTTAAAATTTTCCTTTTTTAATGCACCAGATATGACCTATTGTCAGCATTCCTTACCTAGAACAGGAGACTCTCTCTGGGGCAGTTTTATTTATGTTTCATCACTGTTATGGTCCCTGTACACACTCTTGTTTTAAAATATTATTTTTTTAAATTTAGAGACTCACTCTCCCTCTGTCACCCAGGCTGTCCCAACTAAAGCTCGATGGAGTTTCAAACTCCTGCCCGCAGGGGATACTCCTACCTCAGCCTCAGCCTCCCAAGTAGCTGAGATTACAGGCACACACCACCACACCTGGAAAACTAAAGAGTTGTCCTTTTTTGCAATCTTCTTGTGATCTGTTACTCATCAAAATGGGCTCCACATCTGTGTCTGCTATTTTCAAATGTTGGTTTCCCAAGATAAAAGTAAATTCATTTTTAAATTATTCTGTTTCCCGTTCATGCAGTAGGATGGGTGAAGCAGTTCAGAAATAAGGCTGTCACTATTATCTTATGTGTACTAAGAAGTCTCAAGCCAATGATTCTTAAATATTTGAAAGTCAATGGAATTAAAATATATGACCATGACCAAATATTTTTAATCTACTGTTCTGTGTAATAAAGAACATCATAATTAAGATAAGGGAGCAATAAAAATAGGAAAATTTGTCCTGAGAATAAAGATAATAATTTAAATTTTTAAAAATAAAGTCTGAATAGCCATTCAGGCCAGCAAAGATATAAAGTGAGGTTAATTTAGCAGATTATAGTAAATCTGACACCAATGAGAAAACAGCAATGGCTCATTTTTATGACTTATTTATTTACTCAGTACCACAAGGAAATGACTATTTTGTCCTTCAAAGATATATTTTTAAGAGTCAGATAAAATATAGCACAGGTTGTCATTTATTGATTTTCAATTACGGTAAGCCATAAATTTTGTTACTGGGAAGTTTGCAGTTTTATCATGTATTATACACTTGCCTTCTGAATTTTCTGCTATATATATAAGAGGTGCTACAATGATTACCCTTCTTTATTTTCTCTCCTTCCATCCTTCCCCTGTTTCTCCTCCAAATTCTTTTTTTTCTTATCAAATATGTATTTCTTCAGTTGAAAACAAAAATAAATGAATTATTTTGGAAATAGGAAAGATAATTTGGCATCATTATGAAGCTACTATTAGAGGAATGCTTATAACCTTTTTTATACACTCATTCTGTCTTTAAGGAAAAAAGTGAATTCTGTGAATGTAAAGAAAATTAGAAAATACAAATATTGAACACTGCTGTTGTCTAGATACACTGGTTATGTTCTTATCCATACTTTAGGGTCTTATTACAAAACATGATTTCAGGAATTTTGCCCTTTAGGAGTTTTCTACTGAAAGATTCAGTGAAATTGGTAGTAATATAGCACCCCTCTTTCCATGTTTGACTAAAAATTAAAAAAAAGAAACTGAAGCAACCTATGGAATTATTAGTTGAAGTTCTTCTTATACTTCAGACAATAGTCTGAAATTCATTTTACCAATTTCCAGAAACATGCTTATAATATAGGAGTTAAAAATAAATTATTTAGGCAGATAACAAGGGTACAGGAGTCCTTGGTAAGGCTTCTTCTTATAAGAAAAAGCAGTCCCTAAACCATTTCTTTTCTAACAAAAAGCATCCTAAAGAGTCGAGCTGCAAGCATAGATAAGCAAGCTGGAAGCTTGCATAGATAAATGCTGGCAGCTGTACTAAAAGTCAGGCCTACCCAGTATGGTGATTCCCCCTCCCTTTTCTTTGTCACCACGTGTGCAGGTGTCATAGTACCAACCAGGTAGAGGTCACATTTGCATAATAAAAGGAAAGGCTAGTTTCTACAAGGGTTATGTAAATGACACACTTGGTCAAACCAATCCCGTGGGCTCTATGTAAATCAGACACCATCTCTTCAAGCCTCCTTAGATAACCTACTGCTTCCCACCACAAGGGTTTTTTTGTTTTGTTTGTTTGTTTCCATTTGGAGCCTTCCTCCCTTTTTATGGAGGAGTTCTTCTCTTCTTTCCTGCCTACTAAACTTTCTGCTCCTTAACCCACCCCATGTGTGTCCCTGTTGATAAACTCGGCGTGAGACAATGAACCTCGGGTATCTCCCCAGACAATGAAGGTGCTTCACTTATATTTCATAACAAAGCACTTTGGACAGTCTTACTAGGAGAGATGTATTTGTTTACGTCATCATTTTACAGATTGTATTGAACAAACATTGATCAAGAGAAAATCACTGGGCCAGGGAACAAGAGTGTGAGGATGTGCTGGCGAGAGTGATGATAGGAGTATGACTAGGTTGCAAGAAGAAATGTGTTTTCCACTTATCAGGGAAAATACAACACAATAAAGCATAAAACATAATGCAGGCTAACTAGGGTGGGCAGTTTACCAATGTTTGGGCAGATTGAATGACTTCTACATTAAGATTCCATTAGTTTTATGGAAAATTATTTTTAAAATGCTATTCTAAGCGGTAAGTATGATTAGACTATTAATTATAGTGGCATTAAAACTTAAATTATGCTAAAAATATATTAATGAAAACCCTAATCCTGTGAAATTTTCTTTTGACTGAATGGAAAAAAAAAAAGAAAACACACACACACACACACACACACACACACACATGCACAGAGTCAAAGGGGAATGACTTAAAAACAAGGTAGGATAGAAGTTTCCAGCACTCACTCCCATGGAGAAACATTAATTTAAACAACTATTCATGCATGAAAATACCATCACAAGAGCTAAAGCCAGATGAGAAATTATAGTACCTAAATATAGCACAGGAATTTAAAAATATCTTTGAAGAAGGTAGGAAGGACAGCTTCATGTTACTTGTGTCATACTTCCCCCAAGATTATGCAGTGAAACTCAAACAAAAATATGCTCCATGTGAAACGAAAGTGAAGTGAGAATCAATCTTTCCCACAAACCACAGCTCCAGGCCAGCCCCAATAGTGCCAGGCACTAGGTCCATCCCCACATACATCGTCATTAGGCCCTTTAGAGAATAAGGATGGCACTTACGTACTCAAAGTCAATGCCTGCTCCAGCACAAGGTTGCTCTCCCTTAGACTTAGACCTTTCAGACCAACCATTGTGATCTCAAGCTACAGGCCCAACTCCCTGGAACTAGTCACCAGGCCCAACCCAGTGGACCCCAGAAACAGGGCAGTACAGCTGAACCCAGGACCCAGACCTGAGATCTGTCCCTCTGGACTAAGACATCAGGCCTATTCATGCATTCCAACCTGTAGGCCTACTCCTATTGACCTAACCCCAAGCTCACCCACCATAAGCTTAGGCACCAGACTTGCCTGTCTGCTGTCCCAGGTACCAGGCCATCATGCCCATGGACTCCAGCAGCAAGCCTGGCTCCAGACCTTACAAGGCGGCACACCCAGATACACGTGAAAAGCTAACTGGTAAAGGGCTTTCCCTGATGAAGCCAACCTATAAAGATTGGAAGAGGTGCCTGCTTGTTAAAATACATAGACATCAATGCAAGAGCATAAGGATCATGAATAATCAGGAAAAAAAAATGACCCTACCAAAGAAACAAAACAAATAGAAAACACCAATAACTGACTCTAAAGAAATGGAGACAGCTGGGCGTGGTGGCTCACGCTGTACTTTGGGAGGCTGAGGCAGGTGGATTTCTTGAGCTCAGGAGTTCGAGACCAACCTGGGTAACACGGTGAAACCCCATCTCTAGTAAAACACAAAAAATTAGCCAGGCTTGGCAGCATGTGCCTGTAATCCCAGCAACTCGGGAGACTGAGACAGGAGAATTGCCAGAACCCAGGAGGCAGAGGTTGCAGTGAGCCGAGATGGCACGACTACACTCCAGCATGGGCAAAAGAGCAAGACTCTGTCCCAAAAAACAAACACACAAACAAACAAAAAAAGAAATGGAGACCTATGAACTCCCTCCAAAGAATTCAAAATAAATGTCTTTTAAAAATTCAACAAACTACAAGGGAACACAGACAACTAAGTGAAATCAGGAAAATAATACATCAACCAAATGAGAAGTTCAATGAAGTATAGCAACCACACATAAAAAAGAAACACTGTTGTTGAAAAATGCAATGACCGAACTGAAAAACTCAATGGAGAGCTTCAACAGCAGATTCAATAAAATAAAAGAAAGAACCAGCAAGTTTTAAGACAGTTCATTTGAAATTATCCATTCATGGGAACAAAAAGGAAAATAGAATGAAAAAGAGTAAAGAAGTCTGATGAGACTTATGAGACATCATGGAGAGAAATGATGTACACTCAATGGGAGTTACAGAAGAAGCAAAGAAAGAGACAGTGAAGGAAAGGTAATTTTAACAAATAATGTCAGAAAACTTTTTAAATTTGGAAAAATTCACTGGTTAATTCTATCAAAATCTTAAAAATTATTAATTTCAATCCTTCTCAATTTCTTTCAAAAGATGTTACAAAGGGGAACATTTCCAAAGTTACTCTGCCAGGCCAGCATTAACCTGATTCCAAAGCTAGACAAGAAGACTACAAGAAAAAAACTTTACAGGCTGATATCCCCGATAAATATAGACATAAAAATCCTCAAAAACAAAAAAAAAAATGAAATTCAATAGTACCTTAAAGAGGTCACTCAACATGATCAAGGAGAATTCATTCCAGGGATGAGAAGATGATTCAATATATGCAAATCAACAAATGGGATACACCACATTAACAGAATAAAGGATAAAAATAATATCATCTTATCAATACATACAGAAAAAGCATATGACAAAATTCAACACCAGTTTATTATAAAAATTCTTATTAAGTTAGGTGTAGAAAGAATGCATTTTAGCATAATAAATGCTATATATGACAAGCCCACAGCTAACATCATAGATCGGTAACAAGAGAAGGATGCCCACTATAACCTAGTGTCTAGTACCCGAAGTCCTAGCTAAAGCAATTAGGCAAACAAAAAATGAAAGAAATCTGAATAGGAATGGAAGCATTAAATTGTCTCTGTTTGCAAATGACATGATCTTATATACAAAAAACACTACTTATGACACAAAAATAACTTAGAACTAATAAATTCAGAAAAGTTGCGTGGCACAAAAGTAACATACCAAAATCTGTTTTGCATCTATACACTAGTAATAAACTATCTGAAACATTTTTAAAATCTTGTTTATAATAGCATAAAAATACTTAGGAATGGATTTAATCAAGGAGGTGAAAGATCTATACACTGAAAACTATAAAACACTTATGAAAGACATGAAAAGTATCCAAATAATTGGAAAGATATCCTGTCTTCAGTAACTAGAAGAATTAATATTCTTAAAATGTTCATACCATTCAAAGCAATCTACAGATTCAACACAATCCTTATCAAAATTCCAATGTCATTTTTTTCAGAGAAATAGTAATAATTCTAAAATTTATATGAAACCACAGAAGACACAAAATAGCAAAAACAACCTTGAGCAAGAAGAACAAAAACGGAAGCATCACACTATTGGATTAGAAAATATATTCCAAAGCTGTAGAAATCAAAAGAGTACAGTACTAGATTAAAAGCAGACTTATAGACCAATGGAATAAAATAGCCCAGAAGTAAATCTTTGTATTTACAGTGAATTGATCTTCAACAAAGATAGCAAGAATAGGCGTAAAGAAAGGCAAGTCTCTTCAATAAATGACATTGAAAACTGGATATCCACTTACAGAAAAATGAAATTAGAACCTTATCTCACACCATATACAGAAATCAACTCAAAATTGATTGAAGCCTTAAACATAAGACCAGAAACTATAAAATAACTGGAAGAAAACATAGGGGGAAATTTATTGTCATTGGTCTGGGCAATGATATTTTGGATACAACTCCAAAATACAGGTAACAAAAGTAAAAACAGACAAGATTGCAGCAAACTAAAAAGCTTCTACACCAAAAAGAAAACAGAGTGATAAAACAACCTATGGAATAGAAGAAAATATTTGCAAACCATGCTTCTTATAAGGAGTTAAAAGCCAAAATATATAAGGAACTCATACTACTCAATAGCAAAAAAATGAATAACCTGATTAAGAAATGCAAAAAGAACCTGAATAAACATTACTCAAACATACAACTGGCCAACAGTTATATGAAAATATGTTCAACATCAGTAATAATCAGAGAAATGCATATGAAAACCACAATGAAATATCACCTCATATCTCTTAGAATAACTATTACCAAAAGACAAAAGATAACAAGTGTTGGCAAAGATTTGGGCAAAAAGGCAAACCTCGTATACTATTGGTGATAATGTAAATTTGTACAACCCTTATGGAAAACAGTATTGAGGCTCCCCAAGAAATTAAAATAGAACTACCACATGATACAGCAATCCCTCTTCTGGGTATATGTCCAAAAGAAATGAAATCAGTTTCATGAAGAAATATCTGCACTACCATGTTCATTGCAGTATTAGTCACAATAGTCAAGATGTGGAATCAATCTAAGTGTTCATCAAAGGATGAATGAATAAAGAAAATATGATATATATGAATATTTTTTAATCTTTAAAAATAAAGAATATTATCAACAACAAAAAGCTTATTAACACTGAACTACTTTTTGAACTGCTAATTGGTCTCCTCCTATACAATGTCAAGGGAGGCTTGTTTTCTTGTTCTTTCTTCCTTTCTTTCTGCCTCCCTCCCATCTCTCCATTCCTCCTTTGTTTCCTTCCTTTGTTTTCTTTCTAAGTTTCTTTTACTATCAAGATATTTAGTTGTTTTTCTTTTTCTGTTATTAATTTTATTTTTGTTATCACTCATGTTTTTCAAGAAGTCTTGGCTTTAGTTAAAAGGCATGTTTCCTGTTGTGTACCTTGAACAGTTTTAATGTCTTGCTTTCTGAATCATGACTGGTTTTTCATACACAGTGCTAAATGTTCTTGATATAGCCGAGGGTTCAACACTAGCTTATTACTGTGGAATCATGCTACCTCCTCCTCTTTGAGCCCTGTGATTTACCTTATATTTACTTCTCAAATTGATTATTCTTAAGTTTATTGTATTTCCTATTAGAAGTTTAGTTTGATGAAATTATTTTAGATTTTTTAAATCTGTCATTCCAGAGAAAGGGAAATACAAAAGTTAACATTTATTTACAACTTCCGTATTGCTAGACATTCTAGGAAAATATGCATCATTTTTGTATTATGAAAAAGTAATTTTCTAAGTACTAACATATAGAATAAAATTCGAATTTCCTAATATATCTGTAAGACTTCTCAAAATATGTTCCCTGAATAATCATCCAGTCTTATCTCCCACACTTCAAACTGTCTTCATTTTCATTTCATCTTAAATGTTACCAATATTGGACTATAATTTAAAAATAAATCATGCTGCGGTCAAAATGCAGTCAGAATGCAGCTTAAATATCACTCCTTTATTATATCTTTCATGAACTGTTCCATACACACAGCATAATCTGAGTTCTCTGGGGAAATTTTTGTTTTGCATGCATTCAATTATTTTTGATTAAACACAACAACTCATTATATTATGCACCACCAAATTATTAAAATATGGTCTTTCTACAAATATGTGTGTGTGTGTATATATATATATATATATATATATATATATATATATACAACTCTATATATCTTTATATCTTTCTCTATTTAATAGGTTAGATTTATAGAAAGATATCAAATACCAAACCAAAAGATACAGGATAAATCCTTTGAACAGTAAGGAAAGATAATTGTTAGTGCAATCAAATTTTACATTTAACTTGGAGATTTACTGAAGTCATGCATTAGGGAGACTATGATAAATGGCAAATTACTTGCTGTCTTCTCATTGTTAATTCTAGAAGACTTTTCATGAGAAAAACAGGACTAATACCAAATACTTACAAGAATACATTACATGAATCTTTTTCTTAGGGTTATTGCATCTGATAATAAATAATACATTCAGCAATGAAGGCTTACACCTGTAATCCCAGCACTTTGCGAGGCCGAAGGGGGCGGATCATGAGGTCAAGAGATCGAGACAATGCTGGCCAACGTGGTGAAACCTGTGTCTGCTAAAATACAAAAACCTAGCCAGGCATGGTGGTACGTGCCTGTAGTCCCAGCTACTCAGGAGGCTGAGGCAGGAGAATTGCTTGAACCCAGGAGGTTGAGGTTGCAGTGAGCAGAGACCGCGCCACTGCAATCCAGCCTGGTGACAGAGCAAAACTCCATCTCAAAAACAAACAAAAAAACAAACTTCCTATATTAAGGCATGATAGGTTTGAATTGGTTTTGTAAACAAGTTTTAAACTTTCTCTATTAAAAGTATGAGCCATTCATAACAAAACTTAAAATACAAAGAAAGCTTAAATCCTGTAACAATGAATTTTTAGCATGTTGTTTGACTACTACAAACTATAATTTTGAAAATGGATCTTTTGGCAGGAGCTTGAAAGCTCATGCACCTAGCAAATGAGACCTCCATGGTTTCTAGTCCAAACCTGAAGATGAAAAATCTTTTTTTCTATTTTTTTGAATTAAATAAATTGATACTATTTCACTCACTTCAGATGGCCAACCATATGATAAAATTTGATAACAGAGGTAATTTAAAGTGGGGACAAATGTCATTACATCAAGTGGTTTTAAATTTGTACAGATGCCTATAATACATAATTTATCTTCAGAGTTCTGCACCATAAATCATGGGAAATATTTTTAATAAAAAGAATATGCTATCAGTTAATAATTTCTTAGTCACGTGAGAATATTATTTTGGCTCTTGATTATATATATATATAGAGAGAGAGTGTGTGTATGTGTATGTGAAAAACATTTTTTTTATTTTAAAAAAGAATACATAATAATTGAATGAATTAGACTGTCCCACCGGGTTTTTCGTTACTACCTCTGTAAATTTTTCTTCATCCATCACATGTACCTCATAAATGTATAGACTGATTTGGTACCCATAATCATTAAAAATTTAAAAAGATATTTGTAACTTTAATGTCAACCTGAAAAATATATTCAGATATTTAATTGCTAAGAGAAGCTCTGTCTAGGAAATGATTTTTTTTTTACCTTATATTAACTTATTTTACCCAAAGTAACAAAGCATTTGTGAACTCTCTTAAGTGTTATGCACAGTGTGAGAATCAAATTTTTCCATGGAGGATTTCATGTATTCTATTACTGTCATTGTATTGTCTTCTTTTACGTATTGGTGATATGGTTTGGCTGTGTCCCTACCCAAATCTCATTTTGAATTATAGCCCCCATAATTCTCACATGTTGTAGGAGGGAGCCGGTGGGAGATAATTGAATCATGGGGGTGGTTTCCTCCATACTGTTTTCCTAGTAGTGAACAAGTCTCATGAGACCTGATGGTTTTATAGGGGGAAACTCTTTTAATCGGCTCTCATTCTCTTTTTGCTCATCGTCATGTAAGACATGCTTCTGCCATGATTGTGAGGCTTCCCCAGCCACATGGAACTGTGAGTCCATTAAACTTCTATTTCTTTATAAATTACCCAGTCTTCAGTAAGTCTTTATCAACAGCATGAAAACTGACTAATACAATTGGTTTTGTTGCTCCTGTTGAGTTTCTTTTCTAACTATTGTTGACTGGTCATTCTTCTTTGCTAACTTTGGGTTGAAGGAATTTTTTCTTCCAACTTGATCAAATTTCAAAATCCCAAGGAAACTACAAGTTATTCTTACTTCTCATTGCAGGAGACTTCAAGTCAATTTTAGGAGAACCAAGAAAATAAATAAAACACTTTTTACTTAGCCACTTTACTTAAACAAATATATGCTACCTCTTGCTAAAACATCTGTGTCTATCTAGCCTTGGTTTTTCTTATTGTAGTAATTTCAAAACCTACAGTGCATTCTTTCTTATTCCAATCAAAATGTTGCTAGTCATGATTGTGAAATGATGATACAGATGCAAATGAACAATAAATAAATAACAAACATGTAATTCTTACAGTGCAACATGAAAGCTTTGAATACACAGAGTCTCCCTGGTGCTGATACTAGGAAATAACAGATGTGTTGAGAGCATACAGCCTTCTGGTATGTAGGAACAGTCAATGAGAAGCAATTGAATAAGGATAAAACAAAGTTTCCTCAGTGAATTTTTTTAAGTGAAGTATCTTTTTACTTTTTCTTTCAATCATTTCCAGCATAAGTATGTTTTCATATGTAAACAGAATTTATAATCATTTTATATGCCCCCATTGGAATAAATATAGGCAACTTAATCAGTGTTTTCACACACCTGCCAATATCTTTACTCTGGGGAACTGTGTGGTTAAAACTATCTCTAGTACATTGGTACATACTTCATTATCTATCGGTGTTTTTTTTTTTTTTTTAACTAAAAACATCTTGAATAATTCAACATCTATAAAATCAAAAATAATTTGCCTCATGAGTTAAGGTAACCATCACTGAGCCTTTGTAAGTCAGTGAGACACTTAAAATAGTTTAGCCCCTTGCAATAATACAGGGTCAGTAATGATTATCAACAGCAACAACAATAACAACAACACAAATAAATTCCTAATAGTGATATTACTTTGCAATAAAAAGAGAAAACAAAAAGTCTATTTTGTTTTTGAAATCGTAGTTTCAAAGAGGGAAATAAATTTTGCAAGGGCCTAGTATTGAAGGTTATAGATACAGCATTTCTCACCGAATTTTAAAAAGGTACGACTCACACCTGAATACTATACATAAATATCATACTCAACATTTATTTGTGGTATTTGAAAAAATAAATGACAATACTTTTGCAAAAGCCTATGTGATACCAACTGCATAAAAATCTCCAAATATGTCAAGTCAGGTAAGTTATTTTGGGCTTCATCCAAGAATTCATGAACATTTCATAAACCACTTCAAGAATTCTCACTGTGATCAAGATCAAAGTGTTTGATAAAGCTTGTAAATTGACTGATACATGCACCTCACTGTATGAGTTAATTCATTTGTAATTTTCTAAAATAGTATTTTAGTCAACGAATTTAAAACTGTCAATTGTTAACTGACTGCTGAATGGCAATCACAAGAAAATAAATAATTTTCCTTGGTTAAATAACTGCAAGCCCTTAAATGAACAGCTAGGCTATTGTCTTCCTGTTTTACAAAGTTGTTGCATGCAAATTAGACTAATATTAATTATAGGTTTATTCCTATATCATTTTAAAATAAATACCTTGGCTGGGCACAGTGGCTCATGCCTGTAATTGCAGCACTTTGGGAGGCCAAGGTAGGAGGATCTCCTGAGGTTGGGAATTCGAGACCAGCCTGACCAACATGGAGAAACCCCATCTCTACCAAAAAATACAAAATTAGCCAGGTGTGGTGGCACATGCCGGTAAACCCAGCTACTGCGGGGGCTGAGGCAGGAGAATCACTTGAACCCAGGAGGTGGAGTTTGCGGTGAGCCGAAATCACACCATTGCACTCCAGCCTGGGCAACAAGACCGAAACGCCATCTCAAAAAAAAAATGAATAAATAAATATCTTAAGAAAAAGTGCCTTTACTTCCTTTGATTTTTTAAAAATTCTAATTGTCTGCTCATAAATGCTTGATACATTTCTAATTTACATCTCATGGTGAAAGAAAAAAACGAACTTTTATTCTGCCCAGTAATATTGAGGTTTATGTAAGGTATATTGGGTTTCTCATATTTCCAAATACCTTAGGCTTTAATTTCATTTAATTCAGATGTTTTTAACAATCATTTTTATTCCTAAGTTGTAAGCTAATGCAAGTCTTCAATTTTATTTATCTATTGTGTACATGTTTTGGTAGTTAATATTATTATAAGTATCTTACAAAATGTTTTATTTAAAAGGCATGGCAAAGCTCATGCCAATTAAATCTCTTCAAACAGAATCATTCTGAGGTTATTCAATATTTCAGGTAACTCAAAGGTAATAGCTTAATGAACCTTATTATCTTCAAAGGCTTAAAACCAATATAGCTTTAAAATATGTATTCTACTGTGAGCAAGACAGCATCTAATTTTCCTTACAATTACAGTTTTTAATGGATGGAGGTAGTGGAATACATGGCTCAACAGCTGGCTTCACCAGGGTACTCCAAAAATCTGGGCATTTATAACAATTATTTATTTATGAATTGCTGACTCTTCTTTGGTTAACATTCCATTAATTGAATCTATGTTTTATAGTAGTTTTAGAGCTTAGTGATATTGCATTGTATGTCTCATTGATCTCCCTTATAAATATTAAAGCAAATGAACTCTTTCCAGTTTGTTAACATAAATAATTTATCTCTAGAGCCTGGAAACTTACTGGAAACTTCTTGCATTTTAAGTAAGGCATTTCTACACTTAAATACTCAGAGAAATGATAGAAGGACCATGTACAGATTATAAGTGTTATACCAATAAATAACCTACCATTAATGAACTTAATAACTCTGATAAGTCAAAGAATAATTTGTTTTTATTCATATCCATTTTTATTACTAGAGAAAACAATTAAAATTTTATTTTTTATTAAAATAGAATACAATATATAATTTCAAGTTCAAAATAGGAAATGGAATACACTAGAAGTTTGTTGAATCTAGACGATTTTAATTTTATATGTGTGTGTATGTTTATACATATATATATATATGTATATATAAAGAAATGACTAATGAACAGTCAGAATTTCTAATTCTATGACCTTGAGGAAACGCAGAGTGGTTCTACAATATCCCCAGCAGTGCATTAAATTAACCTTGTAAAGGAAATATTATGTTAATGTACATATTGACAATAATAATCCTTCAAATCTGAATTCTGTAGGCCATATTGACAGCAATGATCCTTCAAATCTGAGTTATATGGGCCAAAGGTCATACTGTCAGTCAGGTTTTCCTTGGTAAATTTCTAGAGAAAAGGTTGTGTTGCAATGTATGCAATTCCAGCACTCCTTGGACAAACTGTGACTTACAGGAGGCTTAGTGGTAAGGAACTTTAATTCTGAGCTCTTTGTGACCTTCAGTTAACCAGTTAGTGTTCCAAGGTTGTCTTCTGGAAGATGGAGCATAAATAATGTCTTATTGGGCTCTTGTTGGAAGTATATGAAAAAACAAACAAACATATATTTAGTAACGAACACATTATAGGTACTCAATCCTTTTTACCTATTTTTACCCTTTATGTATAGTTCTTAAGACTCCTAGAGAAATTCCATTGTACATTATCAAGCACTTCTACTGCTGAACTAGGTCATGACTTCCAGAGGCAGCAATTCCATTCCCTGTCTCTAAAGATAAATGATCAGTAATCCATGAGAACAAAACACGAGCATCCAAAGACAGATGTATTTCTAATTCATTCAGAGCATAATAGAATAAATCAGATGAAAATCAAGACACATGGAGATATGTATTGATTAACATAAATAAAATGCATATTTGCTTCAGACCCCAACCACTATCATAGATTATTTTTCCTCCCAGATACAATCTTTAATCTTCTAAACTATTATATTAGAATAGAAATTCGTGTTTTGTGGCATGTATTTCATATGTGTATTACAATTTGTGAATTGTATATGTTTATGTATAAATAATGTATGTATATGAATATGTGTGTAAATATATATGTGATTATATATAATGTGTATGATTGTGTGTGTACAATGTCCTAAATTTGTGTCTTTACTATTGTAAGGGACTTGTGACTATGAAAGTAAATTTGGTGTGATGCTAGGTCTCAAACTGCCAAAGTGGCTCTGGAAGTAGAGGTCAACAAACCACGGAATGTGAGCAACCTGTAGGAGCTGGCTGGGGCAAAACAAAACAAAAGAATGTATTGTTATCTGAAATTAAAATTTAGTTGAGTGTCCTGTATTTTTATTTACTAAGTCTGTCAACCTAATATTTGTAAATATATTAGAAATTTAAAAGTGAAAAAAAGTGGAATTCTGAGTGCTGAAAGGTTAAGACTTTTTAGATAAAAACATTTGGGATGGACTTTTTATTTTTAACATATAAATGTTATTAATTCGTGGATTAATTTTTAAAGTACACCTCTATGTATGATAATTTGTTTAATACCAGGATTACATACTAAACTCTTATTTCAGTATAGGGTAGGAATTAAGTCAATATGTTTTAACAGATATGAAATAACTATTGAAATAATATACCTTAAATAGTACGTAGTAATTTATTAAAATTTATTTTATAGTGTGAACCACTTCCTAGAAAAAAACGCAAGAAAGGCACAATGTTAAGACACAGTCAAACTGTGGTTAACTAAGTGTCTAGAATAGACTCAGCTCTGAAGTATAAAGATGCATATAGGACATTATCTAATTTGGCAGTTGGCTGTTAAAACAAGTGCATGCAATTAGTTGCTTTAGGTGTTACATAATAATTCCCTAACTTAATTGTAGTTTATTAATTGTTATTTAATTTAATTTTGAAGAATTTAAATCACAGTACACTTGAAAGTCATTCCTGCTCAAAACAGGAAAGGCGAAAAGTAACACTTTAATTTTTTAAAGAAATTAAGCAATTGACATAAGAATGTAGATTTCAGCAATGATAGATTAGAAAAGATAAAAGATAATTAGAAAAATATTTCTATCCTTCATTAGAAAACAATAGAGAAGAGTCTCGTAGCCTGCATGAGGTGTCATGAGTCTTCTGAAATGTTTCCTAAATAACAAGACTTGAAACTCAAAATTACTCTTTGATCCATGGACTGTAGAATGGAAGTTATGTTAGCAGGCATGAAAACAACATTAATCTTGTATGTCTCCATCAGAGCTCCCAGATGACCAGGTACATTATTGATTCACAATAATATTTGAAAGGAACCTTTTTTGTTTTCTTAGCAGTAGGTCTCAACAGAAGGCGTAAAGCATTCAGTAAACTATGATCTAAAAAGATAAGATGTTTTTCAGGCTTTGCTGTTCCATTTATAGAACGTAGGCAGAGTAGATATCACACAATTCTTAAGAGTCCCAGGATTTTCAGAATAGTAAATGAACATTGACTTGAAATTAAAGTCATCAGCTGCATTAGCTCCCAATGAGAGAATCAATCTGTCCATTGAAGCTTTGAAGCCAGGCATTGACTTCATCTATCTAGCTATGAAAGTTCTAGAAGGCATCTACTTCCAAAAGAAGGCTGTTTTGTCTACATTGAAAATCTGTTGTTAAATGTAGCCACCTTCACCAATTATCTTGGGTAGATCTTCTGGATAACTTGCTATGGCATCTACATCAGCACTTGCTGCTTCAACTTTTATGTTATGGCGACGGCTTCTTTTCTTACACCTCCCATCTCACCCTCTTCTATTTTCAAACTTTTCTTCTGTGGCTTTCTTACTTCTCTCTGCCTTCATAGAATTGAATAAAGAGAGATAAGCCCTTGTTCTAGATGAAGCTTTGATTTAAAGCAATGTTGGGGCTGACTTGATCTTCCACCTTGCTAAAACTTTCTCCATATGAGCAATAAGGCTATTTTTGCATTCTTTTCATTCATTAGTTCTCTGGAGTAGCACTCTTAGTTTCTTTCAAGAACTTATCTTTTGCATTCACAACTTGGCTGTTAGGCACATGAGACTTAGCTTTCACCCTAAGCTTTCCTCAGTGAGCTTGATTATTTCTAGCTTTTGGTTTAAAGTGAGGGATGTGTGACACTTTGTTTTACTTGAACACTTAGAGACCATTGTAGGGTTATCAATTAGCAGAATTTTAATATTGTATATCTCAAAGAATAGGGAAGCCTGAGGAGAGGGAGAGAGAAGTGGGAACCAATGATCAGTAGAGCAGTCAGTATATACAAATCATTAAGTGATTTGTATATCCATTAAGTTTGCCATCATATATAAACACAGTTTGTAGTGCTCCAAAACAGTGACAATAGTACATCAAAGATCACTAATTACATGTTAGTGTAATTACTAATTACATGACAGACATAATGATAATAATAAAGTTTGAAACATTGCAAGAATTACCAAAACGTGACACAAAGACATGAACTGAGAACATGCAATTGGAGAAATGGAACTGAGAGAGTTGCTCAACACAGGGTTGCCATGAATCTTCAATTTGTAAAAAGCTCAATGTCTGTGAAGTACAATAGCATGAAGCACAACAAACTGAGGTATGCCTCTAATTGATGTTCTCCTTTTTGAAGAATAATCTCTTAACTGTTTTGTTTAAACTCAACTGAGACAGACATCATCAAAGCCACGGTTTTATATAATGGGTGGCTGAATCTTGTATACTGTAGTTTCATGTGAAATCAGACTTTTTTTTAAAAAAGAGTAGCCTAATTGTAGCTTTAGTAATGACATGTCTTCATCTTCTATACTAAGATATCCACCTATGTGACTTCTTAAATAGGAGATTCTCCAGGATTGGAGGAAAACTGAAGTTAATAATTTTGTTAGATAAATTGAAAGATATTGATTAAATATATTTTAGATGAAAAACATAGTACAACTTTAAATTGATATATGCAAATTGCTTAACTGAATCAGGGTAATATCTTTATTTTTAGCAGATACAACCATCTTTCATTAGAAAGTGCATGGATTTGGATAATCTCCACAAAGCTGTTCATGAAAACAAGGTAAAATTTACTCAAAGAATTAGGGAAATATCACTACCAAAATAATGCAAGATATAACTCTCTTTTGAGAGTTAAAATTTTTATGAAAATTTTCACTGTTTAAAATTGTTTTTGTTTGTTCCATGTGATTATGTCCTATTTGTCATTATTATTATTGTTTTGTTTTGTTTTCAGAGGATTTGAATGTTACCTAATCCAAAACCAGGCCTAATCCGAAACCCGGGAAAAATATCTACAATTCAAGCCTACACATTAGAGACTAAGGCTTCAATTAAGATTTATCTGAAGTCAAATCTAATTATACAGTAGGTAAATTACTGTTTGTTTCCTGATTGTCCTGTGATGACTGATTTTTAGATACATGATTTTTTTTTTTTTTTTCTGAGATGGAGTCTTGTTCTGTCACCAGGTTGGAGTGCAGTGACGTGATCTCCACTCACTGCAACCTCCACCTCCCGGGTTCAAGTGATCCGCCTGCCTCAGCTGAGTAGCTGGGACTACAGGCGCGCATGACCATGCCCAGCTAATTTTTGTATTTTTAGTAGAGATGTGGTTTCACCAGATACATGATATCTTAACTCTAGGAAGATGATCCAAAAAATGCTGTCTTTTCTGTAGCATAACTTTATCTATGCCACTGTGAAAATATTCACTCTCTGGACCAATATTACTAGATCAGAAACACATCATATTTATCAGACGTGGAGGCACCATTGATGGACCAGGTAATATTATATACAATAATTTCAGAAGGAAGAAAGAACAGAATCTTCATGCTGAAATTAGAAATTTTTCTCCAAAAACCTTTTTCTTTGTAATTTTACAAATCATCTTACAAAGTTCCTTCTCCATGTTAATTTAGCTACTCTCTATTCCTTCACATTTCTTACTTTTCAAAAATAGATTTATACAGATGTCTATATATAAAAACTCATATACAGGTAACTAAGCCTAAGATAGGAAGAGGTTAAGGCCTTGGCTTTTAAAAGTTGAGCAACTCAGTTTTGATTCAGAAAGCAACAATGACTTAAAATATTTTACTTTTTAAGAAAGACGCCTTCAATCAACATTCAATTGTAAGCAGCAACCCTTCTAATTTGCTAAGCCAGGAAACCATTGCATCTTCCCCTTAAAAGTTATTCTCATTTTTTTCATATTTACCTAATTACCATTTACAAAGCACATAACATTTCTTATAGGGCTGATTCACATTAGGAAGAGATGAAGTGGTTATAACTTCACAATCAAAATCAGTTCTGATAATTACAGTATTCAGCCTGGATACATGGGTATTCATGCATAGCTTGTGAATAATTGGGGACAATTCAAAGAGTGTGTAGAATTTACAAAGACTTACAAGTGAAAAAAGTTCAGGAAATAGGAAGAGCCCAAGTTATTTGAATGATGCTATCTGTATGATTTTTCAAATTCATATCATTTCTGCACAATATCACAGCTTTCAGGATGTATGCATACTTTGGTTTATCCTCTTTGAGGCACAGACTGTATATCAAAGCAAGAAAGAATTGATAATCATTTACATTCTGTTTAGTAAAGAGCTTTACCAAATGATACATAGAAAAAAAGATTGAATTTTTATATAAAATGAGTACTGCAATTATTAACAACAATATTAAACAACTCATGAATATGTACGACTCTTCTCCATGTACTTTGATTAGCAGTCTTTGAGAAGCTTCATTATTTAAATGATTTGTAGGGGGTAAGGTTATTTTAAAGTCAATTATCTGTTCTCATATGTATATAGATGCTGAGGCTAGAAGCTACATAGTTTGTCACAAATATGAAAACATGGCTGCCAATGTTCAATTCAATGAAATATTTATTAAGTTTTTGATATATTCTGATCACTGCTTTAAGTCAGGGTGAAAATGGGAAAAACCAAAAGAATATGGGATCCAAAAACTGAGTCAACATGTTCCCTACAAAAGAGAAACATAAACATGTTGAAAAAAAGAAGATATGTCAGCAAACACATAACTAGAAAAAAAATTTTTTTAATCTTTAAAGAAGGAAAGTATATAAAATTTGTGACGTTCAGATTGTATTCATGAAGGGTTAAAAGCACTTATTCTTCCTGAATACTATTTTTCTGAGAAGCCTGCAAACTTTCCTTACAGATAGGCAAATTATTTCTTGGGACAGGTAAATATATTTATCACAGCCTTTCTTTCTAATAATTTAGGAGTTCCTTATAGGAATCTGACTTTAAAAAGCAAAGCAGGGGAGCTGATTTTCTGAGAATTTCCCCTTGTGTTGTTTCTTTGATGTTTTATCAGCATTAATACCTGCTTAAATTGTCTGGCTAATCTCACTTTTAGTTTTTTAGCCTAGTCACATTAGATTTGCTTTCCACATTTAACCCTACCTATTATTCTCAATAGTGGTGCAGGAAGATCTCACTCCAAAGACCATAATTGTTAATATACAAGTATAAGTATTTTATTCATTTTCACGGTTTTTGCCACCTAGTTTATTTATAACGTTCACAGAAATTTTCCATAGTTTTCACCAGGCCTCCCTTTAAATATTAAAATTCTCTTTAAACGTGAAAACACACTCACACTAACAGACAAATTCTGTTCTATATACATATTAATTAACCAAAGCATCAAGTACTGGCATAGAATACCTGGACCTTGAAATTTTATAATCAAAGTGTTAATTGCTTCTAGCATGACTTTCTGTAATTTATTCTTATATGCCACAGATTATGTTATATGAAAACATATATATACATACACACATATGTATAATATGCAAGTATGCATATATACATAAAAAAATTACAAAACATTGAATTATGAAAATTGGCTTTATATTAGTAAAATGACCTGCAAAACTACATTTTTAAGCCAATAAACAGTCTTTCTTCCTTGAAAAGTGAGATAGCTAATGAAGACTCAAAATGCCTATGATTTACATATCTGATCTTAAGAAAATATTTTGAAATACAATGTTTGGAAATATTTACTTATCTTTCTGTCTAATGCAATGTGATGTTTTAAGAAAGATCAGCAACAAAATTTTATATGAATATTTTGAAGTTACAATATTGTGCTTTCTCAGTGTTAAAATTGATTAGGATTAAAAAAAAATTACATACTGAGATTGTGGGCTTATCTGCTGTGTTATGGTGTCCCCCAGGTTTAACAAAATAACTGATACATAGAACATACCATGTAATAAAAATGGTTGTCAAATTGAATTTACTAAAACTAATAATACACGAATACGTTGATATAAAATAACATGGTAACTTCAGGAGATAGCTTTGAGTTTTCTTCAGATAAACTCGGATACAGCGAGATACCACTTTGCTGTTACAACAAATAATAAATTTGATTCTTAGAGCGGGAAAACATCTAAAACTTCATGAGTATACCATCCTCTCTAAAGTCACAATTTTGGTTTTTAAAAAAATCTATCTTTTTGCTGTATAGGCTATATTGAATTCTGTAAATAATAGGAAATACGTTGCTTTGTTGAGAGGTCATAAATTATTAGACATCTAGTGTTATAGAGGAAATTATTCAAACACCTTGGTACTAAAAGCCCCTACCTAGATAGGCTCCCTTTAGTTATCTTCCTGCCTTATTGATTGTGGTGGTTAATTACTATGTCAATTTAGCTAAGCTGCATCCACAATCCTCAGAATTTTTTTTACTATATGTCCTCTGGTTAATATTGACCAGCAGACAAATTTTTTGAGAGTTTGAGGTAGAAATAAAGGCAGTCTTATTTTTGTACTGTGAAGACTGAAGGAGGGTGTTATCCACTATGGCAGCTTGCACATGTTGTCACTAATGTGTTTGGTCACGTTTTTGAAGTGGGGCATCAGCTGAACCTGCAGCAACTCTAGCTCCCACCATACCTATTCCTTCATCTTTTCTGATGCTGGGCTAGGTATATGTAGAGCTACATGGCAGCAGATATTGACCTCTCCTGCGGAGCCTCCACAGCCATAGTTGCAGACAGTGAGATAGAGGCACAGATTTTATTTTGTCCCCAAAGTTTTTTGTTTGCATTTTCCAGCTTTAGTTTATCCTTGTTCTCAACCACATCTATCGGGTTGATGTTTTCCAAATTCACTGGGTGTCATAAGCAAAATTCCAAGACAATCTCTCAAATTCCTGCCCCCTGGTGTTCAAAACTTGTATAGCCTCCTCTCCCGATAGGTGTGCAGAAGTTGTGACTGTAATGAGATACCATTCCTACAATAGACAGACTTTTAAGTAATCAAAAGTAGATTATACTGGTGGGCTTGGCCTAATTTGATGGTTCTCTAAAAGAAGGTGAAAGACATTTTGCCTGCTGACCTTGAACAAGCAAACTGCAGTCTTGTAGAGAGGGTCACAGAGCAGGAACTGCAAACTAGAAACAGCTCCTGGTTGACAGCCAGAAAGAAATTAGGAAGCTCAGGTCTACAACCACAGTGAAGTCGATTTTGACAGCAATCCAAACAGGCTTAGGAGAAGGCTCCAGTCCTCAGATGAGAATGCGGGCCCAACTGAGACCTTGATTTCAGCCTGATGAGACTCTGAGCAAAGGAACCAGCTAATCTGTACCCAGAGTCCTGGACCCACAGAAATTTTTAGATAATAAATTGTTATTGCATTAAGCCACTAACATTGTGGTAATTTGTTAGGAAACAATAGAAAATTAATAGAGATTGTGTTACCTGGAAGTGGGGGTGTTGCTATAATAAATGCCTATAAATGTAGGAAACGCTTTGGAATTAGTCTGTGAGCAGAGGCTAAAATGATTTTCAAGAGTCTAAGTGAGAAGTGCTAAATTTTCTTGAAGAGACTGTTAGCAGAAACTTGGACTTGCAAGATGCTGCCCAGGAGGACTCCGGAAGGAAGTGAGGAAGTGAAGAAGATGTAACATTGTAAACTGGAAAAAGGAAGATCCTTGTTATGTAGGGATAAAAAGCCAATGTTTAGGAAGGAATAGGACACTGAAAATTGTAAAAGTCATATATTTTCAAATCTTGAATCCCTAAAATTTTGTTGAATCTCCTTTACCAGTGGGAGTACTTTTTCCTCTCTGTCTGAAGACTTCATCTACTTTTGCCTGAAGAAACTTTGGTGTGCTCCCCTGTGGTCCTGCTATTCCAAGGGACTGCTGATCCTTCTGAAATGTACCTCTTTATCCCTTATTACTCCTCAATATATAACTAGACTTAAGTCTCAAGAAATCCCAGAAAATAAGGTACACAGTATGACCCATGGAAAGGTGTGATACACATAAAAAACTTTTATGATTTAAAAAATTTACATAGAAACCTGGGGATCATATATTGTAATTAATACTAAAGTTCTTAGAACTGGGTTAACAAATATTTTGTTTGATCAGGCTGAATTGAGACTCCATAAGTAAGTATTTCACATTCAATATTCATATCAATATTCAATAGATACAATCTATTAATTTATGTCTTAATTCAGTTAGATGTGAGTAGCTATATTTTTCTTTGTTGATTGATTTGGGCCTAAATGTGCATTACACTAAATGAAGGGGACATACCAGAACTTCTTTATTATGCCGAAGGCATAATGAATGCCTGTAGATTAAGGCATCCAAGTGTTGATGGAGATTGGAATGCATTAGTAGATTTATCATATAAAATGAACAGCAACTTATGGAAGTTATAAAGGACAGTCCTTCATAAGTTTACAGAAATACATTTATGAATGGAATCTCTCCATGCTTTAAAAGTCCTGTGATGACTATTCTTTACAAGCCAGAAATGGTAGTCAGAACTACTTCTATTAAAATGAGCTCTCCAAATCTTCAAGGGAGTAAAGGGATCTGGTGCAAATTGTGAGTTTTAATTGCCAAAGAGAAAGGATGCATGTTTGCCATAATCAGTGACAAGCCAACACAGTAATCAGAATAGTCTAACCTGCAGAGATTTTTGGCATTGGCCAGTTGATTACTGCATCACTAAAATGAAATATATGGATATCCTGCTAAACTTGTATGAGTAATCCAACTCCAGATTTGTTGAATGTAATTGTTTAAGTCACTATAATACAAATCACAACCCCTGTACCAATTCCCAGACTTCAGTGAGTTCAACCCACAGTCTTTTGATTGAATAAGAGGCAAGGTTCATTCAAGGAAGAATCCTTCCCTATATCCAAAAATGACTACGCAAAATTTGTTTCTGCTTTTCCCCAAATTACCTGTGGCCATTTACCACGGTGATTTTGGATTGGAAAAGAGGAAATGATTAGATATTTAAGGGGTTACTGAACTCTGTCTCTGAAATGACCTTAATGCTAGAGACCTGAAATGCCATTTTGCTGTTCGCCATCAAGATTAGGGGGTTATGGAGGTCAAATAAGCAATGGAGTTTTGGCTTGTGTCCATTTTACAAAGGGCCTACTGAGATAAACATCCCTGGTGATTATTTCCTATAATTGGAATAGTCACACTTAGCCACTGGCAGAGTTCCCACATTCATCACCTGGGCTCTTATAATAAGAAAGGTCAACTGAAAACCACTAGAACTGACTCTATCTACCAATAGAGTAATTCAAAATAAATCATGAGAGAATTGTAGAGATTTGTGCCACTCTGAAAGACTTGAAAAATGCAAGGATATTGATTCATGCTACATTGTTATTCAATTTGCCTATTAGGGTCATACACAATCCAGATAGATTTGGAGAATAAGGATGGATTGTCGTCATCTCAATTACATGTTGACTCCCAACTGCAGCTGCTTTTATAGATGAAGTTTCATAGCTGGAATAAATTAACAAATCCCTCAGCCAGCACCTCGTATGTGTCTATTGATCCTGAAAATATTTTTTCTTCTCTATATTTATAGTAAATGCCATAAAAGCACTTTACTTTCAGCTGAACTTGCTAGTAATATGTGCTCTCTGCCCTAGCTATGAAACTGTCTAATCCTACATCACTTGGAGCAAACATAATCATCCCTCCATTCCCCCAGAATGGTATATTACATTGATTTATTTCATCAATAATAATCATGCTGATTAGGCCTGATTAATTCAGATGCAATCACTATTATAGACATCTTGTTAAAATATATACATATCAAAAGATGGAAAACAAATCCCTTAAAAATTACAGGTTTGAAAAATGTTTTGAGATCACTTTCAAGTTGAATGACAACATACTTCAGGCATCTCCAACCACTAAGGAAGAGGACCTCTTTGGAACTTGGAGGCAATATGTACTTCCATCTGTGCATGCTATCCTGACTAGTTTGCTGAGTAACCAAAACAAAGCTCACAATTTTGAGCAGGTCATAAAACAAGACAATGCTTTGCAATATGTCCAGGTTGTCATACTTGCATCATATAACTTAGCAGATTACATGGTGCTTCTAGTATCTATGGTGGAATGGTATTACATTGCCCCCACTCCCTCAACCCACATGTATGGTCTTTTAGGGGAATTCCCTATATATATAGCAGCTAATGAAAAGCAATGGGGGCTGTTTACAAATGTTTTTACACAATACACTGGCACTATACACAGGTGCAGCATTACAATGGAGTTACTCTGGGATCACTTCCAGAAAGGTGATACTAAAAGGTTATTATGTTAATTAAGGAAAATCCTCACCTTCAAACAGTATACCTGGTTTTTAATGTTGTGTAGTAGGAAAGATAGCCAGAAGCATGGATCTTTCTTCATTCATGGACAGTGGTTGCTGATTTGGCTGAATGTTATCGATTTGAAAAGAAGAAAAGGGAAAAACTGTGACAAAGAAATGTGGTGCATAGGAAAACATTTCTGAATGGCCCTGGGTATGAAGATACTTGTGTCCCATAAGAAACTTCATGAAAATGCAATTTAGAAAGGGAGAATTATAATAATTAGATGGGAAAGTTGACCCATTCTAAGGATAACAGGAAATATTTCCCTTTAGCTATATCTATGCTTTCCTGTTGGGTTCATAAACTAAGTGCTCATAGCAGCAGTGATAAGAATGCCTGGGGTCAGCAATCTGGACTTTGACTCACCAAAGCTGATTTGAATCCAGCTACAGATAGCATCCACCTGCCTAAAGCAGAGACCAACAGTAAGCTCTCCAAATGATATCATATCTAAGTTGACCAGTCAGTTACCTGGTGGTGGGTAAATTGAATGAGACACCCCATCACAGAATGGGCAGTACATTAGTCTCACTGAAATAGATCCTCATACTGCATATAGGTTTATCTTTGTTGTCCACAATGTTTATGCTATAAGCACCTCACACATATGCAATTTATTGGACTTCTTTGTACTCCATGACCTGAAACAGCTGGCTTAAATAATGGTATGACTTTTAGATTTATAGATGAATGCACCAGGCAATAACAACTCTGTAAAAAGGCAGGATAATATTGTTTATTTTAAAATGTCAGAAACCAAAAATTATAAATTAAGAATTTTCCAAAAGGCACACAGTTATTAATTATTGAGGTGTGTATTGAAATAAATATCGGTAAACCAAGCACATTCTCTTTCCCATTTACTATATCCCTTCTCTTATGACCAGAATTAAAATAACGTTATTTTCTATATACCTATATGCTTCATCTAGAAGAAAACTAACATATATTCTTGTTAATTACTTCATCTTTCCAAGTTGAATTAAATTTGCTTCTATTATCTGTATTTTCCTCTACTAGAAAAAAATTAAACTACTTATAAGAACATCTGCTTTGAACAAGTCAGTGTATTTTAGCATTTCCTCTTTCTCCTTTTGGATATCATACAAAAGCAAAAAAATAATTTTTAAATAATTCAGAAAATGCATTTTTAGAGAATCTTGGAGATAAATATAATCCAAAACCTCAAAAATACATTTTTGGCTGCCAACAGCACTGATGCTGAGCATAAGTCATCTGAAAAGGAGTGAAGACAAGAAGCATAGCGAATGATGAGAGAACTATCCTTGACATAGCTAAAAAAAAAAGCTGCAGACAAAAAATATCTACAGTTGAAGTGCTCATTCTGAAGCTTAAAGCAATACTAGATAAAGTAACTAGTTTGACTCAAAGAAGCAAAGGACATACCATGATACAAAGAATTACAGAGATGGGCCATATTTTCAGGAAACAGTCTATCTCTGTGACAGCAAATAGTCTCCCAAATTATCATCTCTGCACACTACTGCCTATAATAAAGACTAGCCTTTTTGAGTCATATTGCATGGCCAAATGAAGAAGTGCTGAATGAGAAAATGTAAGCTGAACTTCCTGGAAACTTCAAAACATGACTCAAGGGGTCCATTTATCCCTTTCTTTACCCATTCTTCCTGCTTAAGATTCAGACGTAGAGCCAGAGTGGTAGAACAGCAAGATAAGATCTTCCTAAGAGATGAATAAGCTTGTCTCTTGTTTAAGCCAATTTTATTTTGGATTTTCTTTTGGACAGCAGCTAACCTTATCAAAATATATTTTTCCAAATATACATGGGTTTTAATTTCATTTGATGTCTTTTTTCCAGAGAGAAAAGTAACAATTCTGACAACTTAACACTTAAACAAGAAAAGCTTTATGTAAAAGGATAACTAAAAATATGTATGTAACCAAGGATATCATAAGCAGTGTCTAAGATAGGTCCCAAAGAGTGTTGGTTTTAAAATCCTCTCATTGTCTGGTGAAGTATAACCCTCTTCTTGAAAATCTAACCACAACATCTAGATTTTAGAAAAGACAGAGAGAGAGAGAAAAAATGTGATATCCTTTTGAAGAAGTGGCACGCAGACACCCAATGACATCAACAATTTCTTTGAGTCAGTGTTAGTTTCTGCAGAATTGAAATGCTGTCTCTGATAATGAATGTTGTCACCTCTCTATTCATAAGTTCAATAAGGCGATCGTACTGCTCTCCAAATAACAAGCAAAGGAGAAATGGACAGGGAAATCCAGTATTCGCTTGTGTTTTTATGTAGCATTTGAAGGCTGTTGGCAACCAAGAATAAACACAGTAAACAAAATGGAGTAGATTTTTGTAACAGAATGCCACGCATATATGCATTGCTCTTAATACACACTACTGAGCAAGAAAAATTAAAATTCAATGAGGCTTATACAAAAATATAACTTGTGTAATAAAAACAGATACATCCATGAAACCATATAATACAATTTCAGAGAAGCATATAGATATACACACACACACACACACACATTAACGTGAATGTCTCTGATGTATGGTGTGTTTGAAGAGGATCGTGGTGGGGATAGGGCTAAAGAAGTGGGCCAGAAAGGGAGTAGTTCCTTGTTTAGTTTGTTAGTTCTTATGAGGTATGGGCCAAATAACATAATTAATTTAATTTTGCCTTTGAATTATAGAATTAGAAATATACATATTTAAAAGGTTTTGTTTGTTTTATAGAGACATCTGTCCAATATCACACAGGACTGAGAAACAGGAACATTTCCCTGGATTACAATGTCAGGGTTACTTAGGTATACATTTTAAATGGCAGATGCCCATCACTTGTGTGTGGGAGGAGGAGTGTATGTATACTTTGCATGGAAGTGGGTACATCAAAGGCTTTAAGAAGCATCCAAGGCTTAGTTTCTGAGGGTTGACATGTATTCTAAACTCTTTACATCTCTGGAATATTTTTTTCTTTTGTTTTCTGTGATCCTAAATCTTTTTTTATTCTTTCTTTCCTTTTCTTTTCTTTTTTTTTTTTTTTTTTTTTTTTTGAGACAGAGTTTTGCTCTTGTTGTCCAGGCTGGAGTGCAGTGGCACGATCTCAGCTCACTGCAACCTCTGCATCCTGGATTCGAGTGATTCACCTGCCTCATCCTCCTGAGTAGCTGGGATTACAGGCATGCACCACCATGCCCAGCTAATTTTGTATTTTTAGCAGAGAGGGGGTTTCTCCATGTTGGTCAGGCTGGTCTCGAACTCCCGACTTCAGGTGACCTGACTGCCTTGGCCTCCCAAAGTGCTGGGATTACAGGCGTGAGCCACGGTGACTGGGCGATGCTAAATCATTCTTAAAGTCTAGGTTTTGTCCCCAATTATTCTACATCAATCCCTGATCCTAAAATATAGATCCATGCACCTGTACTGTGTATTGTCCTGCTGCCTCGCTCACTATTATAATTTTTCTAATCAGACTTTTCATTACTGTTTTTCAAGGCAACTGAAACTAATGATGCAAATGAGTCATTATGTATTCAATTTAATAAAATTGTACTATATACCTATTCTCGCAGTGTTCCTATTACGCCTGGATAATTATCCCTTCTTTATTTATTTAAATAAATTTTTTTTATCTTGAATGGCGGGTATTTCATAAAGCTTAATATAATTGGCTTCAGAATAAAGATAAATGATAAAAGAAACATGTATGTTGATTAAAATATTTTGAAAAACATATAACAGATAAGATAAAATATTAATATATGTTGTAATTTTAACAGAAGAAAACCTTCCCTACCCATTCTCCTTTGATATAAAGCAGAAAAAAATAAGGCTTGAGAGGTAGCGATTAATCAGAATTAGATAGATTCTCAATTGGAAGAAATATCTATGTCTATTTTATTCACCCTTCTATTCAACGCATGGATTCCCTTTCTAAAGTTTGGTGTCCAAACAAGATAAAATTTAGACAAAGTCTCAGATAAAACCCTAAATCAGCTGAAGAAGAGTTATGCTTAACTTCTATAAGAACATTTCCTGGAAATCTACAGTGAAGACAAATAACAAAAGCATTGAGAATGCAGTAAAGCTTGCTGCACATCAACGATGGTGTCAGCAACTAGTGCGACGGAACTGAGGCACTGGAGCAGAATTCACAATAAAGCCTGAGGTGTCAGGCAGCAGGCAAAATAGGTACAAGTTAAACCGAGATCACCTCAGTGCATCTAGGGAATGCTTCAGTGACAGTTTTAGGAGCAGTTGATTTAGAAAATGCATAGCAATTATGTGGTCAATTTTAGCATAAGTGTGATGTGGTGCTGAGAAGAATGTATATTCTGTTGATTTGGGGTGGAGAGTTCTGTACATGCCTATTAGGTCCGCTTGGTCCAGAGCTGAGTTCAAGTCCTGAATATCCTGGTTAATTTTCTGTCTCGTTGATCTGTCTAATATTGACAGTGGGGAGGTTAAAGTCTCCCACTATTATTGTGTTGGAGTCCAAGCCTCATTGTAGGTCTCTAAGAATTTGCTTTATGAATCGGGGTACTCCTGTATTGGGTGCATGTATATTTAGGATAGTTAGCTCTTCTTGTAGCATTGATTCCTTTACCATTATGTAATGCCCTACTTTGTCTTTTTTTGGTCTTTGTTGGTTTAAAGTCTGTTTTATCAGAGACTAAGATTACAACCCCTGCTTTTTTTGCTTTCCATTTGCTTGGTAAATATTCCTCCATCCCTTTATTTTGAGCCTATGTGTGTCTTTGCATGTTAGATGGATCTCCTGAATACAGCACAAAAGTGGGTTTGACTCTTTATCTAATTTGCCAGTCTGTGTCTTTTAATTGGGGCATTTAGCCTGATTACATTTAAGGTTAATATTGTTATGTGTGAATTTGGTCCTGTCATGATGCTAACTGGTTATTTTGCATGCCAGTTGATGGAGTTTCTTCATAGTGTTGATGGCCTTTACAATTTGGTATGTTTTTTCAGTGGCTGGTACCGGTTTTTCCTTTCCATATTTAGTGCTTCCTTTAGGAGCCCTTGTAAGGCAGGCCTGGTGGTGACAAAATCTCTCAGGTTTTTCTTGTCTGTAAAGGATTTTATTTCTCCTTCACTTATGATGTTTAGTTTGGCTGGATATGAAATTCTGGGTTGAAAATTCTTTTCTTTAAGAATGTTGAATATTGGCCCCCACTCTCTTCTGGCTTGTAGGGTTTCTGCAGAGAGATTCGCTGTTAGTCTGATGGGCTTCCCTTTGTGGGTAACCCGACCTTTCTCTCTGGCTGTCCTTAACATTTTTTCCGTCATTTCAACTTTGGTGAATCTGACGATTATGTGTCTTGAGGTTGCTCTTCTCGTGGAGTATCTTTGTGTTGTTCTCTGTATTTCCTGAATTTGAATGTTGGCCTGTCTTGCTAGGCTGGGGAAGTTCTCCTGGATAATATCCTGAAGAGTGTTTTCCAACTTGGTTCCATTCTCCCTGTCACTTTCAGGTACACCAATCAAACGTACATTTGGTCGTTTCACATAGTCCCATATTTCTTGGAGGCTTTGTTAATTACTTTTTATTCTTTTTTCTCTAATCTTGTCTTCACACTTTATTTCATTAAGTTGATCTTCAATCTCTGACATCCTTTCTTCTGATGGATCGATTCGACTATTGATACTTTTGTATGCTTCACAAAGTTCTCGTGCTGTATTTTTCAGCTCCATCAGGTCATCTATGTTCTTCTTGAAACTGGTTATTTTAGTTAGCAATTCCTCTAACCTTTTTTCAAAGTTCTTAGCTTCCTTGCATTGAGTCAGAACATGCTCCTTTAGCTTGAGGAGTTGGTTCCTACCCACCTTCCGAAGCCTACTTCTGTCAATTCATCAAACTCATTCTCAGTCCAGTTTTGTTCCCTTGCTGGTGAGGAGTTTTGATCCTCTGGAGGAAAAGAAATGAGGCTTTTGGAATTTTCTGCCTTTTTTGTGCTGGTTTTTCCTCACCTTCATGGATTTATCTACCTTTTGTCTTTGATGCTGGTGACTTTTGGATGAGGTTTTTGCCTGGACATCCTTTTTGTTGATGTTGATACTATTCCTTTCTGTTTGTTAGTCAGGCCTGTCTGCTGGAGGTCTGCTGGAGTTTGCTGGAGGTCCACTCCAGACCCTGTTTGCCTGGGTATCATCAGCAGAGGCTGCAGAATGACAAATATTGCTGCCTTTCTCCTCAGCAAATGCAAAAGGACAGAAATAATAACAAACAGTCTCTCAGACCACAGTGCAATCGAATTAGAACTCAGGATTAAGAAACTCATTCAAAACCGCACAACTACATGGAGACTGAACAACCTGCTCCCGAATGACTACTCAGTAAATAATTAAATTAAGGGAGAAATTAAGAAGTTCTCTGAAACCAATGAGAACAAAGACACAACGTACCAGAATCACTGGGACCCAGCTAAAGCAGTGTTTAGAGTGAAATTTATTTCACTAAATACCCACAGAAGAAAGTGAGAAAGATCTAAAATCAACACCCTAACATCACAATTAAAAGAACTATAGAAGCAAGAGCAAACAAATTCAAAAGCTAGCTGAAGACAAGAAATAACTACGATCAGAGCAGAACTGAAGGAGATAGAGACATGAAAAACCCTTCAAAAAATCAATGAATTCAGGAGCTGGTTTTTTGAAAAGATTAGCAAAATAGATAGAAAGCTAGCCAGACTAATAAAGAAGAAAAGAGAGAAGAATAAAATAGACATAATAAAAAATGATAAAGGGGAGATCACCACTGATCCCACAGAAATACAAACTACCATCAGGGAATACTGTAAACACCTCTATGCAAATAAACTAGAAAGTCTAGAAGAAATGGATAAATTCTTGGACACATACAACTCCACCCCAAAACTAAACCAGGAAGAAGTCTAATCCCTGAATAGCCCAAAAACAAGTTCTGAAAATGATGGAGTAATTAATAGCCTACCAACCAAAAAAAGCCTAGGACGAGATGGATTCTAGCAGAGGTACAAAGAGGAGCTGGTACCATTCCTTCTGAAAGTATTCCAAACAATAGAAAAAGAAGGACTTCTCCCTAACTAATTTTATGAAACCAGCACCATCCCGATACCAAAACCTGGCAGACCCACAACAACAAAAAATTTCAGGCCAATATCGCTGATGAACATCAATGTGAAAATCCTCAATAAAATACTGGCAAACCGAATCCAGCAGCACATCAGAAAGCTTATCCACCACGATCAAGTCAGCTTCATCCCTAGGATGCAAGGCTGGTTCAACATACACAAATCAATAAACATAATCCATCATACAAACAGAACCAATGACAAAAACCACATGATTATCTCAATAGATGCTGAAAAGGCCTTCAATAAAATTCAACACCCTTCATGCTAAAAAGTCTCAATAAACTAGGTATTGATGGAAGTATCTCAAAATAATAAGAGCTATTTATAACAAACCCACAGCCATACTGAATGGGCAAAAGTTGGAAGTATTTCCTTTGAAAACCGGCACAAGACAAGAGTACCCTCTCTAACCACTCCTATTCAACAGAGTATTGGAAGTTCTGGCCAGGGCAATCAGGCAAGAGAAACAAATAAAGCATATTCAAATAGGAAGAGACGAAGTCAAATTGCCTCAGTTTGCATTTGACATGATTTTATATTTAGAAAACCCCATTGTCTCAGCCCAAAATCTCTTTAAGCTGATAAGTAACTTCAGCAAAGTCTCAGGATACAAAATCAACGTGCAAAAATTACAAGCATTCCTATACATCAATAACAGACAAACAGAGAGCCAAATCATGAGTGAACTCCATTCACAATTGCCACAAAGAGAATAGAATAGCTAGGAATACAATTTACAAGGAATGTGAAGGACCTCTTCAAGGAGACCTACAAACCACTGCTCAAGGAAATAAGGACACAAACAAATGGAAAAACATTCCATGTTCATGAATAGGAAGAATCAATAATGCAAAAATGTCCATACGGCCCAAAGTAATATATAGATTCAATGCTATCCCCATCAAGCTACCACTGAGTTTCTTCACAGAATTAGAAAAAAACTACTTTAAATTGCATATGGAAACAAAATGAGCCTGTATAGTTAAGACAATCCTAAGTAAAAATAATAAAGCTAGAGGCATTATGCTACCTGCCTTCATACTCTACTACAAGGCTACTGTAACCAAAACAGCATGGTACTGGTACCAAAGCAGATATATAGACCAAGGGAACAGAACAGAGGCCTCAGAAATAAAACCACACATCTACAACCATCTGATCTTTGACAAACCTGACAAAAACAAGCAATGGGGAAAGGATTCCCTATTTATTAAATGGTGTTGTAAAAACTGGCTAGCCATATGCAGAAAACTGAAACTGGACCCCTTCCTTACACCTTATACAAAAATTAACTCAAGATAGATTAAAGACTTAAATGTAAGACCTAAAACCATAAAAACCCTAGAAGAAAACCTAGGCAATACCATTCAGGACATAGGCATAGGCAAGTAATTCATGACTAAAACAACAAAAGCAATGGCAACAAAAGCCAAAATTGACTAATGGGATCTAATTCAACTAAAGAGCTTCTGCACAGCAAAAGAAACTATCATCAGAGTAAACAGGCAACCTACAGAATGGGAGAAAATTTTTGCAATCTATCCATCTGACAAAGGGCTAATATCTAGAATCTACAAGGAACTTAAACAAAGTTACAAGAGCAAAACAACCCCATCAAAAAGTGGACGAAGGATATGAACAAACACTTCTCAAAAGACGACATTTATGCTGCCAAGAAACATATGAAAAAAAGCTCATCATCACTAGTCATTAGAGAAATGCAAATCAAAACCATAATGAGATACCATCTCACACCAGTTAGAATGGTGATCATTAAAAAGTCAGGAAACAACAGATGCTGGAGAGGATGTGGAGAAATAGGAACACTTTTATACTGTTGGTAGGAGTGTAAATTAGTTCAACCATTGTGGAAGACAGTATGGTAATTCCTCAAGGATCTAGAACCAGAAATACCATTTGACCCAGCAATTCCATTACCCAAAGGATTATATACCCAAAGGATTATAAATCATTCTACTGTAAAGACACATGCACACATATGTTTTTTGCAGCTCTATTCACAATATCAAAGACTTGGAACCAACCCAAATGCCCATCAATGATAGACTGGATAAAGAAAATGTGGCACATATACACCATGGAATACTATGCAGCCATAAAAAAGGATGAGTTCATGTCCTTTCCCGGAACATGGATGAAGCTGGAAACCACCATTCTTAGCAAAGTAACACAGGAACAGGAAACCAAACACCACATGTTCTGACTCATAAGTGGGAGTTGAACAATTAGAACACACGGACACAGGGCGGGGAACATCACACACCGGGGCCTGTCGGGGGGTTGGGGGCTAGTGGAGGGATAGCATTAGGAGAAACACCTAATGCAGATGACGGGTTGAGGGGGTAGCAAACCACCATGGCATGTGCCTACCTATGTAACAAACCTGCACATTCTGCACATGTATCCCAGAACTTAAAGTATATCAAAAAATGCAAAAATACAAAAATATAAATAATAAAAAATAAAATGCATAGCAAATGCATGAAGCAAAGAACAGTAAAGAAAAAATGGCAATGATATTGAGTAGCAAATTTTCATTCTCGCTAAGCATACTGTAAGTCTGTATAGCAAATTTATTGATCGTATTTACACTGTGCTTAATTTAAAATCACAAATAAAGTTGAAAATATGAGTGATTCATTGGTTTGGGGTTAAAAATGTATTGTAATCTGAGAGACTCAAATACATTCTTTCAAGGCTCCTAATAAAGAGGTCTGAAGAATACAAAAGAAAGGAGTTCACCCTCTGTTTTAAATGGTTGCAGTTGTGGAGGTAGCAAGACACAAGTTTGATGTGAAATGCATATGTGATTAGGCCTTTTGTCATACTCTCAAATGTCATTTTTCCTAAACTATTTCCTTTTTTGGCCTTTGGCAAGGAAACTATATATAACATTTCAGTAAAAATAGCTAACAGTTATGCATTAGTAACAATTAATTACTGAGAGAATGTAAATATGCTTTAACTATTTTACAGGTGTAATTGTGTGGAATAGGTAACCAGCTAATACAATGTTTTACACACCAATTTCTTTATCCCTAAAGCACTGACAATTATTTTACAGTACAGACAAGGACAAAGCATCAATCGTATGATAGGGAAATAATTACTCTAGTATGTATAACCTGTTACAAATGCATTATATATAATTTCATTAAATTCTGAAGGAAAAAACAATACAATATAATACTTACTTGCTTTCCATATTTAATAAGTACTTTCCTCTTATCTTCCATACCAAAGGAAGCCTCAGGCTTTCTTATGTCCTTGCCTAAAATACTTTAGCAAGACAGATAGAGGAAACTATTGAAAACAAGCCTCATTTTTGTATGAATATGAAAGCTTGAGCTTATTTATGAGCCTTTGCTTGGTGTCCCATTAGGGAAGCCCCTTACACTTTGGAATCCATTTGACTGTGAATTAATTCACCTAAAACAACCCATTATGCTTGCCAAGTTCCATGTTATCAAAAACATGTTCTTGTTAAATATTTACAAAGTTTTTAAGCAAATTGTACAGCACGGGATGGTTTCAACCACCTTTGAATATTTTTGAAGTTCAATTCAATTCAGTTTTAATTTTAATGTGATTCTTTCAAAATCCCAGGCCTTTGATTTAGCTGATTAGCTATGGTTTTGAGGGATAGCTGAATTGTATGCCAGTGTATATCTATTCACATTTCAGACACTGAACATCTCATTTTTCCCCAAAATACACAAAATGAACATCTGATCAAGTTAGTTACATTTCTGGACTGGGATTGAAAATGTGTTTAAATTAGGAGCATTTCATGATTTATAAAAGCATTGACATCCAACCATTGGAAACACTTGAAAATCAAAACATACAACAAATGCATTACCAAATATCATCAAACCAATGTCTAGAGAAACTCAAAAGTATGCTATATTTTGTCCACAGTGGAATTGGTGTCATAAAACTGCTTCAGGCAAATTTAAAAAAATTACAATTAAAATTAAACTACACTGAAACTCTAAATTGACCATCTGCAATTCAGGAGGAAGACTCAGAAGCTACTAAAATTACCCCATTCTATATAATTTGTTGTAAACTGCATAAATACTTAAAATATGTATTTTGTAAATAGGAAAGCCTTTAAATTTAATAATCATTCAACTTAACAAATTTTCTTTTAGCCAGTTACATTTTATTACAAATTTTCACAAGATTTTTGGCCACACATCATATTGGCAATTGCACCTGGCAGGTGGTATATCCTAGGAAGGAATATACCCACTTGTTGCCTAGGGAGACTGGACATTGGGCAGGTTCCCATTCTCTCAAGAAGATCATAGAAACTGAAAACTTAGCATTGGCTTTCAAAGGAGCAATTAGCATCCCATGTGTAGACAGAAATCCAGGACATTCTCTGGAACTTTGACAGAATAGAAGGACTCCAGGATCTCTGTAGGAATCTGAAAATGTGGTACGACTTTTTTAAAAGCTGAAGTTATTTACTGAAATGAATGAATATCTTGGTTTCAAAAGACATTGATGTTAAAATCTGAATAATTTAGAGATAATATTTGTGGTGTAAGAGATAATATTTTTTGGCTGAAGGATAATGAAGTAACTGAAATGGAAATAAAAACATATTAAGGGATACATAGCAAGAAGGCTGTACATATCATAAAAGAGTCTTTAACTAACTTTACATTTTGTCATTTTAAAAATGCTTACATCTGTAAGAGTATATTCATAATTATTGCACAGAAAACTATTGATTTACAGGTACTTCCTTAGATATGAGCTAAATGGTCAATTCTTAGATATAGTAAGATCAGCAACTACAATTAATTGCAACAAGGCAACTGGTTATTATTCTAAACTAACTTAGTTCCAATAATACCAACATTTTTCCATGTGACATTTGCAAAGCATCACAAACATAAGAGAGCATGGAAACATACCTACAAAAGTATTAAAAGTATTAACAAAATATTAGTTGTTAATGAAAACAAAACATTTAACGCAGTTCCTGGAGCCATACACAAGTCTGTAACAATAAATTTTATTAACATAAAAATGCCTGAATGAGACAATACTCAAGTTGCCGGCACAAACGAACATGTTTCATGTAAGTTGGAAGGCCAACTTACATTTCATGTAAGTTTTGATACCGGCAAAATACTGTTAGTTTTTTAAAAACAGTATTAACTATATACTGCATTTCATGAAATTTTATTTTCAGTAGTTTTATCAAATGCAATATCCTCATTAGGCAGATGAGACAATTGAAACATATAGAGATAAACGTTTTCTTTTCTCTTCAATTCCTTTCTTTTTTACCTTATTTTCATAGGATTGAAATTGAACCAGGAATGCCCCAAAGCAAGTTAATTCTATTTTCATGTTGACGACAGAATAAAAATTTGTAGAAGCATTTTTATAAGTTCTTGCACATACAAGAGAGAGTTAAGGACATAGTGATGATTGTTTATAGATGGAAAATATATATTATCACCATAACATTTTATGCAAATGCATTGAACATAAGTCTGGAGAGCAAGAACAATAATCAGCATAACTCTCAGAAAACTATACACTGGTTTTGATGAGATTCCGCAAACATTTTATTAACTTTTTTGTGTTGAGATTTTTTAAAATTACATTCTGTCTCAAGCATGCTTATGAGCTTTCCTTTATTTTTCAAAGCTTATTTGTAGAAGGAAAACACCATTGCCATATTTATAGAAAAATCAGAACTTCCTGCTTTCAGTTTACTTCCCTTTTACCCTATTTTAAAATTTTCCTTTGAACTTGGCTTCTTCAAATTTGTCTATATTTCTTAAGACATCATATATTTCATGTAAGGTTTCTCAATGTCACCTTTTTAGCAAAGCTAAAAATAGAATTTTTATGTCATATTTAATATTAAAAATACCTTATAAAAATGTAATAATCCACTTTGCAACCAATAAGTGAGTTCAATGCACATCATAACTAAATTTTTTAAAGGTCATTTCATATTTTATTTGAATTGTGAAAACAAAAGATAAAATAGGACAAAATAACTGTTATCAACACCATTTTCTGCTGACAGGTTTTCTAAGTTATTGATTATCAACCATGGGTAATTTTGCATGCCCTACAGGGTTCATTTGGCAAGGTCTGCAGTTCGAGAAGGGAGCTGAAGTTGTTGGAACATAGCAGGTGGAGGCCAGGAATGTTACTAACCATCCTATGAGGCACAGGACAGACCCCCACAACGAAGAGTCATCCAGTCCAAAATGTTAACAGTGCTGAATTTCCCTGCTTTCAAGTAGTCTTGAGATTAGTCAGTATTTAGAAAATGTAGATTAGGAGGTTTACTGCACCTATTTGTTCTCCTCATTCAACTCCCACTTATAAGTGAGACCATGTGGTGTTTGATTTTGTGTTCCTCTGTTAGTATGCTGAGGATAATGGCTTCCAGCTCATCCATGTTCTTGCAAAGGACATGATCTCATTCATTTTTATGGCTGCATAGTATTCCATTGTGTCTATGTACCACATTTTCTTCATTTAGCCTACCATTAATGGGCATTTGAGTTGATTCCATGTATTTGCCCTTGTGAATAGTGCTGCAATGAACATATGCATACATGCATCTTTATAATAGAATGATTTATATTATTTTGGGTATATACCCAGTAGTGGGATTGCTGGGTCAAATGGTATTTCTGGTTCTAGCTCTTTGAGACATTGCCACACTGTCTTCCACAATTGTTGAACTAATTTACACTCCCACCAACAGTGTAAAAGGGTTCCTATTTCTCCACAGCCTTGCCAGCATCTGTTGTTTCCTGACATTTTAATAATTGCCATTCTGACTGGCATGAGATGGTATCTCATTGTGGTTTTGATTTGCATTTCTCTAATGACCAGTGATGATGAGCTTTTTTTCATGTTTCTTGGCACAGGTTTACCTTTGTAAGAAACCTGCACATCCTGCACATGTATCTCGGAATTTAAAATTAAATTTAATTTAATTTTTTAAAAAAGAAAATGTAAATTAGGAAATAAACTGATTTATTTTCTTTTCAAGCTGAGAAAATTTCAGGTGTGATAACTAAATAATCAACACTTTCCTGAATAGCCTTTGTCTATTTTGCTCTCCAATCATCAATTATTTTTTAATACTTTTGTTAGACATAGAACATACATAAATAAATTTTAAAAGCTCTTACTAATATAACATAATATAAACTGAATTCACTTTTTACAATTTGCCAGGTTCTCATATGCAAAATTACACACACACACACACACACACACAGATTAAGAAAATATGCTACCTAACATTTGTGTAACCCCTGAAAATTTACTAAATTATTTCAGTGGCCTCATTATGCCTATGAATTCAGTTACCTCCAATACACTGATTATTTTCCAAATTGCCTCTAATGATAATCTTTCTTCTTTAGTTTCAAAAGTACTCAAGGACTATTGGTGCTTTCTCATAGACACTCTTAGTACACTGTCCAGTGTAAAGTAAATTACACAGTAAACGCTATTGACAAGACCATAAATAGCATGAGATTATGAATAAGCCTGCCTAATTCACCAATGTATCCAAATACCTTGCATAATACTTGCCATATATAGCTTACTCTCAATCAATATTTATTAAATGAATAAATGAATTAAATGGAAAGCTTGTTGATTTAATTCCATACAATATCTCTGCTTTTTTGACTTTAATAAAACTAGAGAAGCCAAAAGATATAAAGTCCTTATATTTTGTATACTTTGGATTGCAGAAAATATTTAAGGTGGAAAATAGTTGAAATAGTTGGCCATGTGTGTTGATGTTACCTTAATTGTTGAGTCACACAATGTAAAAGCAGAGTAGCAAAGTTGATAAACTGACAGGAAGATTATAGCACAACAGCCTGTGATAAACAGTGAGAGGCTGAAGGAAAACCTATTGACTTCTCAAGTTGTAAACTTCTGAGATAGCATCCTTTGTTAGAACATTGCTTTGACTTCAGAAAAAAAAAAATATTTCAATCTCTCAAAGTCTATGTGTGCTTTGTTGGGGGAAAAAACAGATTATTTTACATCTGTTTACTTATTATATGGAAACAGGTTCAAATCAGACTTGTAAGATGCACCAAAACTTAGATGCCATCAAAGTCTATTCACAAAGCTAAGAACAAATATAAAAAGGACCTTCTATTTTTATTTACATCTTGCAATAGTAACCATACTATGATACTAAGTAATACTGATTATACTTAGAACTGAAATAAAAAGAAGACTATACTTTAAGAATTCCACATTCAGGCAAAAGTATTAATTAAATCAATAATAAAAACAAAATAAAAATTCAATAATTTTGTATTGGACATTACATTTTCATGTTCTTTCACACTTAGGGGTTATAATGAGGATGTGTTGCAGATGGCATAGGCATGGAATTTATTCTTGTTTTAATTAGTTACTAGACTTATGACTTCATATTTAGATAGGAATTAATTGTCTTTTGAAAGCTACAGAGATACATAAAATGTGCAGAGTATATTTCACTGTTCAAGAATATATACTTTTTTTTCAGACACTCAGGGAAACATGTAGTGGATTTTTTTCTAAAATTTTCTTTAAAACATATTGTTCAATATTATCATATTTTCTCTCTAACAGTGGTAAATTAGAACAGAAGAGCTATGCTATATCTACTTTGCAAATGTAGATTTTTAACCACTTTTTTTTAACTACACAATATTTATTTCAGATTGTATTATACAATGTGATTTTAAAATTATCCTTATTTTCATTAAATGTTTTAGTGTAATTTCTTTGTGCCTTGTATATGTGAGAGGATAAAACTTATTTTATCAGGTTTTATCTTTTGGAAATAACTTGTCTTTGTTTAGGAGAATAATTTTATATACCACTTGTAAGTACTGAGTGCACGTTTTAGAAAGAAATACCCTGAAGAGAGGTAAAAATCACTGTGTAAGAAGAAAAAAAATCCAGAAATTTAAGAATAGTAGATTACTGAGAATCAAGACAGGGATAGACAATTAAGTGGATCTTGTATTAGGGATTTACTACCACAAATGGTTTTCATAATTACATGTAATAAAGTTTTAACTGTGAGTGCCCCCAACATCCTATTCACAATCCATTCTTACCAACACACAAGAAGATGCAGTATCTCCAAGAAACTAGAAAGGCAACATGTCCCTGCCCACAATTATAAATCATTTCACCTATTAAAATACCCACTTGCCAAATGTGATGAAATCTTCACATTCATCAAGTTGCTCAGATTCATCAAGCAGTATATTAAAAAAAGATAACATATACACTTAGCCTGTTCTTTTCAGGTTCAAATGAATTCCTATCTACAAATTCCCTTTAAGAAAAACTATCAAACAAGTTTACTAGATTTTTTTTTTACTATTTTCTTATTTTTATTTTATTTTTTAGAGACAGGGTCTCACTCTGTCACCCAGGCTGGAGTTTTGTCACAATGAAGAAGGAGCTGGCAGAGGCTTCAACTGGGAGTAATGGAAAGTAATTTGGTGACATGGACTTATGCTTACCAGGTCAAGTGGCACAAAATGTAATTCTTTATTTTTTAATATTTAATTTTTGTGTGTATATATATATTTATAAGGTACATGAGATATCTTGATACAGGCATCCAATACATTATGACACATCATGGAAAATGGGAGTATCTATCCCCTCAAGCATTTATCCTTTGTGTTACAAACTATCCAATTATATTCTTTTAGTTATTTTAGAATGTACAATTAAATTATTGTTGACAATAGTCACCCAGTTTTTCAATCAAATACTGGGTTATATTCATTTTTTTCTAATTGTTTTGTTTTTCCCATAAACCACCCCCACCTTTCTCCCATCCCCCAACTATTCTTCTCAGCTTCTGGTAACCATCCTTCTACTTTCTATCTCTATTTTAAATTTTAAATTTATCTTCAGAATTTACAAATATCACTGTAATATAAGAGCAATGTTTTAGCTTTGCAATTTCACTCTTTAAAGGGACAAGTTACTTACTGATCTGGAATGTTTGATATTATTTTATTAATTTTTCCAGCAAATAATACAGTGTACTTTAATTAAAATGTAATTCAGATTAGATTCCAGCTCTGCTCAAACTACTGGATGCTTCCTATTTCCATCTGAAAATATTCCAGTATCTTCACGTAGAATATAATATCCTGCACTGTCTTGGATATCTGCTCTTCTCTCAGACCTCATCTCACCATTCTGCCCCTTTCTCCATGGACTCCAAGCACACAGGTACCTCCGCAATTAACATCCTGCCAGGATTTACACTTGTTCCTCCTGTCTGGGGCACCCATTTCAGATATTTCCACGAATACTTTCAAGGAGTACTTGAAAACTTGAATAACTATAGGTTTGACAAGTTAGTAAGTACTTTATCAAACTTATTTTGGAGTTTGGGAAGGCTTCATTTAAACAACTACTTCCATCGCAGTGATTCAGTAAAAGGTTTATTTCCTTTTCCGGGAGAAAGTGGATATTTTAAACCATGAATCTGTTTCCTTAGAAAGATACCCATTAGCATACACTTTGAATAAATCCTCTGAAATAGTTATCTAAAATGGAGAATTTAACAATTTTCTAGACGTATGCTTTCATTTCCTGCAGTCAGAGAGTGTAAAAGGGTGTTCTAAAAAGTAACAAAATAAAATAAAAAGCTGAAGGAAAATTCCAATGTAAAGATCAACAGTAGTTACCAATTTTTAGAAGAAATATGCTTTAAACTTCCTCTAAGAGACTTTTTTTTTAAATTACTTCTTGGTAAAACCATATTTCCTATTCTTTTATCTTTAAATGCATATTAATTCCAGACTACTATATTAATATTGAAAATGTGATAGTTTTTCTTCTAAGGAGATTATTAATATTTGATTGCATACAATCATACATAGCTTTTATATCTCACTTATTACATACCTTTTTGTATCTCACTTACTTTTTGAAAAACAGTGGATAATTCAATTATATGTTCAGCAACACTTTTGCAACAAGCAAACTGAAAAACTATCTTTTGCTCATTTAAATATATTAGCTCATTCAAGTGTATCAGGAAAGTGAAAATAGCTAGATAAATTACTAATGTTTCTTTATTTTTGTGGATATATGAGGTATCACACATTATATATTCTTTACAAAAATAATGTGTCCATGCAAATACTTTGTTAGTCTTAAATTTCATTACCGTTATATGCCAGAAACTGAATATATTTACTGATTTACTAAAAGAAAAACTGCACTACTACAAAAATAATTTTGAGTAACCATGATGGCATAATTTATACTCTATAAAAAGGTTGACACAATGAAGAGACTTTTAAATTGTTTATTTTTGTTTTTAAATGTATGCATTTATTTAAATTGTCAAATTTGTATGTATTTATGTTATACAACATGATGCTTTGAAGTGTATATACACTGTGGAATGGTTAATCTAGCTAATTGAGATATGAATTTACCTCACATAGTTATTATTTTTTTGGCAAGAACACAACATGCACTCTCAGCATTTTCCAAAAATATAATATACTGTCATTGACTAATGACCATGCATTATATAAAAGGGTGTAATTCTTAGGTACAGTCTATGACAGCTGGAGAACTGAGAAAGAAAAAATAAGTAATAAGCAACATTTTGTTTTAAGAAATTTTGAATACTGAATGTGCTGTCAAGTTATCAATACTTAAAAATCAATAATTTAATTATTTTATTGAGTCACTTATCTG